>NC_000021.9:8522360-8706715 GCF_000001405.40 Homo sapiens | reverse complement strand
GATCCCAAAATGCTAAGGACTCTACTTTTAATAGTGTAGAGAACATTGACAGTTCTTGGCATGAAAGGTTTAAAGAGCTATGCAAAACAAATTCATTCGACACTAATGAATCATCGCTCGTGAGAGGCAAGGAGTTTAGTGACTCTGTACCTAATACCCTTGACAAACACCTTGCAAAATAGATTTGTGAGGACAGCACCTGCATCTTTGAAGAGCCCTGTAAAGGCTCTTCTCTGTATGTCAGTTCTAATGGTGAGAACTGCAGTCACTCAGTTACAAAAGTTAAATACAATTTGGAATAATTGGATCCTGAAGTGGCAGGGGCCAAGTGGTAGCACTCAACCCTCAAAGGCACGGTGGGTGTAGCTACCGTAATGGGCAGAAAAGACAAAGCAGCAATCTGAACAGTCTGACTCATGTAGAGCTCTGGCATTGGCTAACTAATCACAGTGTTCCTAGAAGTGAAACTGACAGGAAGACTAATGCATTCCTACTTAATTTATGTAAGGAGGAAACTTAAGGTCAAACAGATAAAAGACTAATTGGAATTATAAAAACAGAGATTCATGGCCCCTCAATCAATTTCCAGCCTTGAGCCAGTTTACAGACCCAGAACCTCTTGAATGAAGGGGAGGCTGGGTCCCCCTGAGGTGTCCATGGCAGATAGGAATGCTGCTTTGAGGCTTTGGCAGGCCTCCATAGGTGAATCATGGTGGAGGCCTCTAATATTTTGCAGCAAGGCCTGGTCATCTTCTCCAGTTAACTACTCTCCTTTTGAGAGACAGCTCTTGTCCTATACTGGGCTTTTGTGGAAACTGAATATTTGACTATGAGTCAACAAGTCACCATGCGACCTGAACTGCCTATCGTGAACTGGGTGCTTTCTGACTCATGTAGCCATAAAGTGGGTCA
This sequence comes from Homo sapiens, assembly GCF_000001405.40. Taxonomy (NCBI): domain Eukaryota; kingdom Metazoa; phylum Chordata; class Mammalia; order Primates; family Hominidae; genus Homo; species Homo sapiens. The sequence goes on along the minus strand of NC_000021.9, from coordinate 8,705,803 downwards.
TGCACAGCAGCATTGCATCATCAAATGGAAATGGTGTATAAGTGATTGGGCTCAAGCAGGTCCTGGGGGGTACAAGTAAGTTACATGAGGAAGTGGCTCAAATGCCCACCCTGCCACCCTGCCTTCTCTCCCACGGCCTGCACTGATGACCTCATGGGGACTTGCCTTTGAGCAGTTAACACAGGAAGGGAGGACTAGGGCCTGGTTCACAGATGGTTCTCCACAATAGGCAGGTACCGCCCAAAAGTGGACAGCTGAAGCACTACAGCCCCTTTCTAGGACATCCCTGAAGGAGAGTGGTGAAGGACAATCTTCCCAGTGGGCAGAACATTGAGCAGTGCACCTGATTGTGCACTTTGCATGGAAGGAGAAATTTCCAGATGTGCGGTTATATACTGATTCATGGGCTGTAGCCAATGGTTTGGCTGGATGGTCAGGGACTTGGAAGAAGCATGATTGGAAAATTGGTGACAAAGAAACTTGGAGAAAGAGTATGTAGATGGACCTCTCTGAGTGGTCAAAAACTGAAGATATTTGTACCCTGTGTGAGTGTTGACCAACAAGTGACTTCAGCAGAGGAGGATTTTGATAATCAAGTGGATAAGATGACCCGTTCTGTGGATACCACTCAGCCTCTTTCCTCAGACACCCCTGTCATTGTCCAATGAGCCCATGAACATAGTGGCCATGGTGTCAGGGATGGAGGCTATGCATGGATTCAGCAATGTGGACTTCCACTCACCAAGGCTGAACTGTCTGTGGCCACTGCTGAGTGCTCAATTTGCCAGCAGCAGCAGAGACTAACAGTGAACCCTTTGTATGGCATCATTCCCTGGGGTGATCGACCAGCTACCCGGTGACAGGTTGATTATATTGGACCTCTTCCACCATGGAAAGGAGAGAGGTTTGTCCTCATTGTAACAGGCACTTACTCCGGATATGAGTTTACCTACCTGCATGCAATGCTTCTGCCAAGACTACCATTTATGGACTCAAGGAATGCCTTATCCACTATCACGGTATTCCACACAGCATTACCTCTGACCAAGCACTCACTTTACAGGTGAAGAAGTGAGGCAATGGGCTCACGTTCACGGAATTCACTGGTCTTACCATATTCCCCATCTTCCTGAAGCAGCTGGATTGATAGAATGGTGGGACGGCCTTTTGAGGTCGCGATTACAACGTCAACTAGGTTACAATACTTGGCCGGGCCGGGGCACCATACTCCAGAAGACCATGTGTGCTCTGAATCAGCGCCCAATGTATGGTATTGTTTCTCCCATAGCCAGTATTCACAGATCCAGGATTCAAGGGGTGGATATGAAAGTGGAACCACTCACTATGATGCACTAGCAAAATGTTTGCTTTCTGTTCCCACGACATTAGGTTCTGCTTTACTAGTCATCTTAGCTCCAGAGGGAAGAACGTTGCTACCAGGAGACTCAATAAGGATTCCATTAAACTGGAAGTTAAGATGGCCACTTGGATGCTTTGGGGTCCTCCTACCTTTAAGTCAACAAGCTAATAATGGAGTTACAGTGTTGGCGGCAGTGATTGACCCAGACTATCAAGATGAAGTCAGTCCGCTACTCCACAACGGAAGTGAGGAAGAGTATGCATGGAATATAGGAGATCCATTAGGGCATCTCTTGGTATTATCATGCACTCTGATTAAGGTAAATGGGAAACTATACCAAATCCAGGTAGGACTACAAATGGTCCAGATCCTCTCCGGGTCACGACCTGCTGAGCTGCTTGCTGAAGGCAAAGGGAATACAGAATGAATAGTGGAAGAAAGTAGTTATCAATACCAGCTACGACCACCTGACCAGCTGCAGAAATGAGGACTGGAACTATCATGAGTATTTCCTTCTTCTTTTGTTAAAAACATGTTTGTGCATGTATGCACTTGTACTAAGAAAATATCTTCATTTCATTTCCCTTTTCTTTATCAGGTGACATAGATTTGCTCACCTCATATCAGCATTTAAGTATTGTTTACTTTATGTAATAGTATTTGGGTTGGGGATTGGTGCATTTCCAGTTGTAGGAAGGATAGTTTATTATGTTGGGGTAATTATGACCTAACTATTGTCTGTATTTTAAGATTATGTATGATCTCAGGAGATGTGTGTGGGTTCAAGTTCACAAGGGGTGGGCTTGTGATGGTTAATAATGAGTGTCAACTTGATTGGATTGAAGGATGTAAAGTATTCATCCTGGGTGTGTCTGTGAGGGTGTTGCCAAAAAAAGATTAACATGTGAGTCAGTGGTCTGGGAAAGGCAGACCCACCCTTAATCTGTGTGGACACAATCCAATCAACTGCCAACCCAGCCATACTATAAGCAGGCAGAAAAATGTGAAAAGAGACGGGCCTCGCCTCCCAGCCTACATCTTTCTCCCATGCTGGATGCTTCTTGCCTTCGAACATGGACTCCAAGTTCTTCAGTTTTGGAACTCTGGCTGGCTCTTTTTGCTCCTCATCCAGCAGATGGCCTATTGTGAGACTTGGTGATTGTGTGAGTTAATACTTAATAAACTTCCTGTATTAGACAGTGACATCTAGAGGGACAGAACTAACAGGATATATACATATATATATACACACACACACACATACATATATATATGCACACACACACACACACACATATATATATTTATTTATAAAGAGGAGTTTATTAACTTACAGGATCATAAGTTACACAATGGGCTGTCTGCAAACTGATGAGAAAGGAGAGCCATGGAGTCCAATGTTTGAGGGCAGGAAGAAACCAGCATGGGAGAAAGATGTAGGCTGGGAGGCTACGCCAGTCTCTCCTTTTCAAATTTTTCTGCCTGCTTTATATTTGCTGGCAGCAGATTAGATTGTGCCCACCAGATTAAGGGTCGGTCTGCCTTCCCCAGCCCACTGACTCAAATGTTAATCTCTTTCGGCAACACTCTCACAGACACACCCTGGATCAATACTTCATATCCCTCAATCCTATCAAGTTGACACTCATTATTAACCATGTCACTCCCTTTCATATATATATATGTATATAGTCCTTTAATTCTGTCACTCTAGAGAACCCTGACTAATACATCTACACTTCTGATGATCTATTTCTTTTATTTTAGGTCATTTATTTCCCCTGGGTTGCCTACACTCGCTTCTTCCCACTCCCCTATGAAGGACAATATAAGCCTCTGGACCTCACTAGGTCAGGGCATGTCCCTGCTTGCACTATCCATGACACTTTCCTCTTTTACTCTTTAGCAATGAGGGAATGTCATCCTTACCCAGATGCCAGCCAACTGTCTCACATCCAGGACAGAGAGTCTCCATCTCCTCTCCAGCAAATAACCATGTATGTGTGCATGGTGGCATGCCCCTGTGATCCCAGCTACTCCATAGGCTTAGGGGGGAGAATCACTTGTGCTTCAGAATTCAAGGTTGCAATGAGCCATGATCACACCACTGCATTTCATGCTGGGTAACAGAGAGACCCTGTGATTTTTCCCCTACATTTTACAGAATTTTTGTTTTGCCTCTTTCTTCTATTAATTTATGTTTTGTCCATTCATTTTCTGCAAACCTTTAGAGGGCAAATAGGAAGTTTCCCTTTATAACGTGGTGGCTCACGCCTGTAATCCCAGCACTTTGGGAGGCCGAGGTGAGCCGATCACCTGAGGTTGGGAGTTCGAGACTAGCCTGACCAACATAGAGAAACCCCGCCTCCACTAAAAAAAATACAAAATTAGCAGGGTGTGGTGGTGTGCACCTGTGATCCCAGCTACTCAGGAGGCTGAGGCAAGATAATTGCTTGGACCTGGGAGGCGGAGGTTGCAGTGAGCCCAGATTGTGCCACTACACTCCAGCCTGGGTGACAAGAGCGAAACTCCGTCTCAAAAAAACAAAACGAAACAAAAACAAACAAACAAAAAAACACCATTGCCTCACTGAATTAAAGGCGTGTTCAGCAGTTTCTTTGTTATTTCAAAGAGTGGCATCTGCTTCAGCAGGGTCAGTTTTTAATGTGTTTGTTTTGTTTCTTTTTTCTCTGTCTGGTGTTCTTTTCTATTTTATTATAATTTTTTAAATTTGAGGGATGAGGTTTTCATAGTACTGAATATCAAACAATGAATCCGCATGAATGATTCACCTAATTTCCTTGGTTTTAGTCCTCTATACAGGTTTTATATAGCAAAAGAACCATTTAAAGACTTGGGTTACAAATGCATTTTATTTTACCTCTGGCATGCCTTGGGCTGAGAAAGCATTATATGGTGGCACAATATTTGTAACATTCTCAGAGCCATCTGGTGGTGGTTCGAGGTATGACGTTTTGAAAATCTAGCAAGAATTAAAAATATGTCAAGTTAGAGAGAATAATTCCAGATTATTATTAAGATATAATTCATTTTGCCCCAAGTATATACTTCAGATTAAGCATCCTGGAACTAGGTTCTATAATTAAATAGATAAATTACACTGACAACAATGAGAAAGGGCCTTATCATTATTATTGTCTTCCTAATAATAGAAACTTTTATAAATGCATGCAATCCCAGGTAACCAAAAGTTTCCTTATAAAGTGTAACAGCAGAGCTTCAAAGGTGGCACTTTGGCAATCCTCTTTTTTTGACTATGCCTTTTCAGCTTCGTTTGTGGGCTCCTTTTCTTTCATCTTTATTTAAATAATATTTCCCTATGTTTTATCCCCAGCCCATTGCTTGCCTCTGTACTGCCTCCCTGCGAGACTTCATTAAGTATCAGAATTTTACCAATAGCTCATATGCTTATGATGCTTACCTTTTCAGATTCGTATATTTAAATGTTTTGTGGTTATTTCATCCTGGATGTCCAAACTCAACATGTTAAAATTCAAATTTATCATCTCTCACCCCGGGCCTGCTTTTGGTCTGCATTACCTACCTCTATTAATAGCTTCAGTCATTAGTCACCGACACCAGACAGTCTCGGAGTCATCCTGAACTCTATCTTCCCCTCCTTCCCCAAGTCAATCACTAATCAAGTCCTGCTAATACATTTCCTTACTATTTCTGAAATCCATCCCTCTTCCTCATTCCTACTAACATCCTAATTTAAAACTTTATTATCTTTTACCTGGACTATTGTCTTAAGACAACAACTTTAACCCGTTGCTTAGCCTAGGTGTAATCCACAGACGATCTTGTCTGTCTAAAATGCCCCTCTAGCCACATCCTTCCCCTGCTCAGATCTTGTCATTGGCTCCCATGAACTGAAGTTGAAGTTTAAGCTCCTTAGGACAGCATACACGCCCTTCTATGATATGTTCCCAGAACATATTTACTGGTTTATCTCATACCATGGCCCACTTTGTATTTTACACTTTTGAAATACAGAAAGTCATTACATTCTCCCAATAATACTAAGATAGTATATGCCTAAAAGCCTTTGGCAATATTTTGTCTTTTGTTGAGAATTCTCTTAGCTTATTTTGTCACGTGTTTAACTCCTTATGTCCTTTCATGACTCACATGTCAAGACTTCAGGAAACCTTCTCTAACTCCCAGGCTGGGCTGAGTGACCCTTTTCTGGGTAAGTAATGAACTCTAATCATACTCTTCATAGCACTTACCATACTAATTTGAAGTCTGAAGTATTCCATTGTCTGCCTCACTTTACTTAGACAAAGGAACCATGTCCTAGTCTCATTCTGGCCTCAGGACTTCAGCCTGGGCGACAGTGGGAGACTGTGTGTCAAAAAAAAAAAAAATTGCCAATGATTGAAGCCTAATACTGAAGATTCTGGTTTATTAATAATTAGTCTGTTGCTGGGTGTTAATTGAGCTCCCCAAGTGATTACTCATGTAGGACTTCAAACCAATAATTTAGAACCTTGTGACTCAAAATCTGGGCAAAAATAAGCAGCATCAGTATCACCTGGGAGCAGCTTCAGATCTCACTTTAGATTTACTCTGAATCAAAATATTATATTTTTATTAAAAAAATTAAGAACAGATGACAAGCTTCAACTACATCTAAATTCTTTAGATTTACTTTAAAAGAATCAACATTTTGACACAATACCAAAGTGAACTAAATTTGCTTTTTTTTTTTTTTTTTTGAGACAGAGTCTTGCTCTGTTGCCCAGGCTGGAGCGCAGTGGTGCAATCTCGGCTCACTGCAACTTCCACCTCTCCAGTTCAAGCGATTATCTTGCCTCGGCCTCCAAAGTAGCTGGGATTACAGGCACATGCCATCATGCCCAGCTAATTTTTGTATTTTTAGTAGAGACAGTGTTTCACAATGTTGGGTCAGCTGGTCTCGAACTCCTGACCTCAAGTGATCTGCCCGCCTCGGCCTTCCAAAGTGCTAAGATTATAGACATGGGCCACCATGCCTAGCCTAAATTTGCTTTAATTTGGAGAAGTACTGGTCTAGAAAACACAAATTCCAAGGAGACCGAGGTTCTTAAGTTGATTTCTTGAGTACAAGTCCTTCAAATGCATTCTCCAAGATTTTTTTTTTTAATTTTTAAATTGACAAAGATTATACATATTCATGGCTATATGGGGATGTTTCAGTACATGTAGATGGTGATCAGATCAGGGTAATTAGCATATCTATCATCTCAAACATTTATTATTTCTTTGTGTTGGGAACATTCAAACTACTCCTAGGTATTTTAAACTACATAATATAGTATTGTTAACTATAGTCATCTACAGTACTATAGAACGCTAGAACTTATTACTCCTACCTAGCTGTAATTTTGTATCCATTAACAAATCTCTTACTATTCCTCCTTTCTCCCTACCCTTTTCAGCCTGCATTATCCTCTGTTCTACTTTTTACTTCTACGAGATCAACTTTTTTTTAGCTTCTGCATGAGTGAGAACATGTGGTGTTGAAATTTCTATTCCTGGCTTATTTTGCTTAACATAATATTCTCCAGTTCCATCCAAGTTGCTGAGAATGACAGGATTTTATTTATTCTTTTTTATGGCTAAATAGCATTCCGTGGCGTATATATACCATATTTTAAAAATCCATTCCTCTGTTGTTGGAAACCTAGGTTGATTCCATATCTTGGCTATTGAGAACACTGTTGCAATAAACATGGGGGATGTAGATGTCTCTGCAATATAATGCTTTTCTTTCCTTTGGATAAATTCCCAGTAGTGGGATTGCTTGAGGTGTTTCAATACTGTTCTCCATACTGGCTGCACTAATTTACATTCCTACCAACAGTGCATAAGAGTTCCTTTTTCTCCAGCTACTCAGGAGGCTGAGGGAGGAGAACTATTTGAACCCTAGAAGCAGAGGGAGCCAGATTACACCACCACTGCACTCCAGCCTGGACAGAGAGTGAGATTCTGTCAAAAAAAAGGTCCCTTTTCTTCACGTCTTTGTCAGCATTTGTTATTTTTGTCTCTTCTATAATAGCCATCCTAACTGGAGTAAGATGATGCCTCACTGTGGCTTTGATTAGCATTTCCTTGCTGATTAGTGGTGTTGAACATTTTTTCATATATTTGTTGGTCATTTGTATGTCTTCTTTTGAGAAATGTCTGTTCAGAGCATTTGTTTATATTTAATTAGATTGTTGTGCTTCTTTGCTGTTGATATGTTTGAATTCCTTGTATATTCTTGATATTAATTTCCTGCCAGATGAGTTTATATTTTCTCCCATTCTGTAGGTTGTCTTTTCACTCACTTTATTATTTCCTTTGCTGTGCAGAAGATTTTTAGCTTGATGTGATCCCATTTGTTTATTTTTTCTTTTGTTGCCTGTGCTTTTGATACCTTATTCATAAAATATTTTCCCAGAGCAATGTCCTGAAGGATCTCCCCTATGTTTTCTTCTAGTAGCTTTACCATTTTGGGTCTTATATTTGGGTATTTGAGGTACTTTGAGTTGATTTTTGTATAGGGTGAGAGGCAGAGGTCTAGTTTCATTCTTCTGCATATGGATATCCAGTTTTTCCAGCACCATTTATTGAAGAGACTATCCTTTCCCCAATGAGTGTTCTTGGCATGTTTGTAAAAAATCCGTTGGCTGAGATATGTGGATTTTCTGGGTTCTTTATTCTATTCCATAGGTCTATGTGTCTGTTTTTATGCCAATACCATGATGTTTTGGTTACTACAGTTTTGTAGTATATTCTGAGGTCTGGTAGCATGATACATCCAGCTTTGTTCTTTTTGCTTAGGATGGCTTTGGCTATTCAGGATATTTTTTGATTCCATAAAATCTCTTTGGATTTTTTTTTAATTTTGTGAAGAATGTTCATAGGTATTTTGATAGAGATTGCATTGAATCTGTAGGTTACTTTTGAGTAGTACTGTCACTTTAACAACATTCATATTTCTGATCCATGAGTGTGAATGTCTTTTCATTTGTTTGATTTGTTTGTATCCTCTTCAATTTCTTTCATTAGTGTTTTGTAGTTTTCATTTTACCTCCTTGGTTACATTTATGTCTGGGTTATTTTTGGTAAGTATTGTAAATGGGTTTGCCTTCTTAATTTCTTTTTCAGCGAGTTTGTTGTTCATAAATATAAATGCAACCAATCTTTGTGTATTAGTTTTGTGTCTTGCAACTTCATTGAATTTGTTTGTTCTAAAAGTTTTCTGGTAGAGTCTTCCGGTTTTCCTATATATAAGATCATGTCATCTGCAAATAGGAACAATTTGATGTCCTCCTTTCCGATCTGAATGCCCTTTATTTCTTTCTCTTGTCTAATTACTCTTGATAGGACTTCACATTTATATACTTTGAATATTTAAAATGTTTACATAAATGTCAGAATCAACTTTCATTTTTCATAGAAAAAGAAGACCCTACTTGTTTTGTAGTTTTAATATTAATCAATTATTATCTGAGACAAATTATTTAACAAATTAAACTGTCTATTAAAATATTTCACCACAAATAAATTCCATAAGGAAAATATCTACAACAGATTTTATGAAAGAAAAAAAGGCTTCTCTACAGTTGCTTAGGCCTGGTGCCATGGCACACACCTATAAATCCCAGCGCTGTGGAAGGCCATGGCAAGAGGATCCTTTGAGCCCAGGAGTTTGAGACCAGCGTGGACAACAAAGTGAGACCTCATCTCTATAAAAAATAAAAAAGAAATTAGCTGGCCATGTTGGTGCGTGCCTGTGGTCCTAGCTACCCGAGAGGCTTAAGAAGGAGGATCACTTGAGCCAGGGAGGTGGAGGTTTCACTGAACCATATTCACGCCACTCCACTCCAGCCTGGGCAACAGAGCTAGACCTTGTCTCAAAAAATTAAGTTAGTTAAATTAAACATAAAGTTGCATTGTATTTAAGAAATTGGGAAAGCAGAAAATGCTTCTGTTTTTCTTTTGAGTTGAACAATGAGAACACATGGACACAGGGAGGGGAACATCACATACCGGGGCCTGTCAGGGGGGTGGGAGGCTCGGGGAGTGATAGCATTAGGAGAAATACCTAATGTAGATGATGGGTTGATGGGTGCAGTAAACCACCATGGCATGTGTATACCTACGTAACAAACCTCCACGTTCTGTACATGTATCTCAGAACTTAAAACGTAATAATAACAATAATAAAAACGACAAAAAAAAGGAAACGCTTCTTGTTAGAACAGATTACATACCCTCATTGCTTTTTATAATAGCCTGTAATAACAGAATATCCACAAGGTGGCAGTAATATATCAGTTTCATCCTCTGAAATTAAAACTTTTGCCTATTCAGTAATACAATGGATCTTTTGAACTCACTCTAACAAGTAGAATACAGCAATTTGACTTAATAATTAGCCTTTAAATTTATAGTCTTGTATTATCACTTTAGTGGTTTGAATTATTTTGTATTTTAATATATTTAAATGAATTAGTCCTATACAAATTGACTAATTTGACATGTGAAGGTGTTTTTATTCTATCTTCAGAAGTTTAGCTTTAAAAAAATTTCTAAACTTCGATATCTGGTGAGTGCCAATGTTTTTATCTTATTAAAAGGTGACAGACCACACTATATTCAACTGATTTTTTTTTTACAAGGATGCAAAATCAGTTTAAAGGAAGGATATCTTTTTCAACAAATGGTGCTAGAGCAATTGGACATTCACAGGTACAAAAACTAAGACTGACCTAAATTTATACTTTATATAAAATTTAGCTCACATAAATCACAGGCTTAAATGTAAAATGCAATATTATAAAACTTAAAGTTGTGTATGGTAGCTCATGCCTGTAATCCCAGCTACTACTCAAGTGGCTGAGGTGGAAGGATCACTTCAATCCAGCTGTTAGTGGCTGCAGTGAGCAATGATGACACCACTGCACTACAGCTTTGGTGAAACCTCGTCTCAAAAATAATTAATAAATAAATAAATTCATTAAACTTTTTAAAATAGAAGAAAACTCTTGAGACCTTGGGCTAGGCAAAGAATTTTTAGGCTTGATGTTGAAAACAAAATCTACAGAAGGAAAAAGTGATAAAACTGGACTTCATTAAAATAAATAAACACTTTTTTTTTTTTTTTTTACTTAGACCCTGTAAAGAGGTTGAAAAAATGAATTACAGACTGGGAGAAATAATTTGCATACCATATATCTGACAAAGAACTTACATCTAGCATATGTAAAAAATTCTCAAAACTCAACAGTAATAAATAAGGTATCCAATTAGAAAATAGGCATATGTGACCTCTCTGTATTATAACTTAAACCTCATGTGACTACAATTATTTCAAATGAAATAAACACAACAGTAATGCCTGTTTCTAGCACATAAAATAATCAGAGAACATAGAATTATACAAAGTTAAATTATTGGGCCATTTACTTAATTTAAATATTTTTAAATGCGTGTACCCATTTTGCTTGAAGGTGTGTGCAAGTATGCTTGTATTTTTTTAACGATAATATGGTCACATGAGCATTAATTTTTTTTTTAAAGTTTATAGTTACCCCACACAAGTTCTTATTGATTCCCTCATTCTTAACACCTGCATAGTATTTCATTTTATAATTAATGGATTGTAGGTTTATTCTTTTAAAATCACTTGTGTTGTTCTCATGTATTTTTTTTTTCACTAAAAAGTGTTGCAATGCACAAAACTAAAAATATAATGAGGGTCTTTTCTGGATCTCTGTTGAAAAACTTTGAATAAAAATTACAAGTTCAAATCACATGCAAAATAAACATTTTAATTAATAGGGTTTTTATGCAAGGTGTTAGTAGAAGCAGCAGCACAGTTTTATTAATATCCCTGAATCTCTCACAAAACTGACTGAGCAACTGGGATAACAAGGTATTAACTATGACAAAACAATGTAACAGGGTGTCATCATGGACCTTTTGTGAGGTTAAACCACAGGGACCCAGGCAAATCACCAATTTTTTTGGAAGAAGGAAAGGAAAGAAAAAAATGTTTAATGGCCCTGGGAACTGGAAAACCTAGAAATACAAGCGCTAACATCTATGTTCCTAAATTCAGAGATTCTTACTAGGCGAAAAGAACTCAGCAGATTAATCTGAGAACGGCAGCTGAGGCTGGCAGAAGGCTTCCTGGGCCTCAACTCATAGCTGAGAGTGAGGATGCCAAAAAGCAGGTGCTGTGAGTGGTCTGTTTCCTATGAACCCTACAAATTAACCACCCCCAAAACAAAGCCCTGTCCTAAAGAGAAACTGCAGGAAGTCAACTATAAATTGAGTTGGGAAGCACACTGAGGCTCAAGAAAAGGGAAGCTCCAGGTTAAGATGCAAGAGAAGAAGGGAAAAGGCACTTTTCTGCAAGTTCAAGCACAAATAATTTCTTTACCTTCTAGTTCTGGAAATACCAGGTGCTGTGTATGTAAAGCAGGAATTTTGGTTGAATATTATATAATTTTCTGACCCACTGTTACTAATCCAGTTTCCCCTGTACTCAGGTCTTCCATGCTACAGACAGACTGATAGATGCTCAGCAAATAGTTGCTAATATTTTCTAGGTAACTAAGTGCTAAACGAGTTTTCTTAAATTTCTACCTCCAGGTCTGTAAGTTGATTTGAAGCATTACCAGTTTCTGGTTCTGCACAGGTTGTTGAGCGCAGGACTTCTCTCCTCCAGTGGAAAGGCCACCTGCTCACAATCAACCATCCTTTCCTGTGGCCTTGAGACACTACTCAGTGTAGCACGCCTCCCAGTCTAGAATAGGCACACTCATCATCAGTCTCTCTCATTTGCTGTCTTATCTCCACTCCATCTACATACAGTTTTTATTTTCACCAATGTTTTTAAATAAACAACTGTACAAGCACAACAATGACAACAGAAACCTTCCTTCCCCCAGTGTTGTAGTGAGCAAGGAATATATTTAACTTCAAATAAAAGACAAAAACAAATGCTGGATAAAGCTGACAGAAAGAAATGCAACTATAGGTGCTCTGGCAATATAGAAATGATACAACTAAGAAAAATGGAAGAAAAGGAAAGAGAAAGTATTCCTCAGAATGATTTTACTGACTGCTCATCTGTAATGCCTGGGAGTCAAAGGATATTGTTTATAGAAATGTAAGCATACTTAATGGCACCAGGGGAAACAAAGTTAATATGATTAAATCAAATTGTGGGATGAAAAATCACATAGGGAGGACAAGAAAGAGAATACAGCTAATATCATTGTTCTTAGTTTAGAGACATTCGCTACTGTCTAAAGAAAGAGATGATTTTATGAAATTACATAAGGTAGCCATCAGAATAAAAGTTTAACTCTTCCAAATATCACAACATCAAAACAAAAGCAATAAAAACAAACAAGACAGCAAAAGACAGATATGTGCATCTAAATCATAGCATAATATACGGCTATCAAAATATAAACAAACACAATTTATCATTAAAAGTAAGTGGGCTTGACTCTTATTAGAGGAAAAATATTGTCAGATTAAATCAAAAAGCAAATCTCAGTTCTATGCTGGATATAAGATAAAGTGTTACAGAAAGTTTAGAAATAAAAGTATAGGCAATGAATAAAAGGATCTTCTCTTCATGCGTTAGGAGTATAAAACAGTAAGTCAACACATCATACGTTTTCTGTTTTTACACTTAAATGGCTGGAGATGTTACACCACTAGTATGAATTTACTTCAGATATATAAAGGATACACTTTTATGTGGTTAGAAACAGCAATGATAATAGTTAAGGTGAAAATAACATCTGCATTGACGTTAGGAAGAAAGAGCCATTGTTGGGTACATAGTGATCACATTACCATGGAGCAATCTGTTCCCAACTGAAATGTCCTTGCCCTTCTACTGAAATCATGTAAGATTCTGCAAAAGTAGTGTTTACTTCCCACAAATGAGACATTTGTGGGAATGGCTGCTATTGTTGTCCACACGGAATGAACATCAGACCTATATTTTCCTGTTGTATCATTAAGAGTCGTATTTGGCCCTTTCCAGAGGCTATTTCAATTATATTTTGGAGAATTAGTCTATTTCCAGACAAATAATTTTACCAGAACTTTGATCCATATGAAATGACCCTTTGGTAGGGATCCAGGGATTGAGTTTATTTTTAATTACTGTAGCATCCTGGTCAGGTTGAGAAACAGATTACATTTTTATTTCCCTGGCATGTGAGCAGGGCTAGATTTAGCATGAGAATGCTTGAAAGTTTATAGTTTTTTAGAAATTTTATTTACTGTGTGTCTCTTTCTCAAAATAAAATTAATGCTGAAAAGCTATATTAAATGAATTATTTTGAGATGGTCTCTTCCCCCTTCTTCCAATGAGAGGATATCCACAGATATGTCAGGAGCTTGCTTTACCTAGAAATGTGTTGAGGGCCATAGGTTTGGGTTCACCTAGGAATGTTTAGGGAAACCTCCCCAAGTTGTTGTTGAAGAGTGGGGTAAATGTAAGATAGAATTAGGCTCACGGAGGCCAGATGAGAGCATCATGTCACCCCAGAAACACAGCATATACCTAGGAGATCTGTTCTCAGTATCAAAGTCTTAAGCACTGTAAGATTGCCTATAGACTAAGAAAACAACTATATATATATATATATATATATATATATATATATATATATATATATATACACATATATATAGTTAATAAAATCAGTTAATATATAAACATATATTTATTTATCAACTTATTTTTATTTTTATCTTCAGACAGCATCTTGCTCTGTCACCTAGGCTGGAGGGCAGTAGTGCAATTAAGGCTCACTGCAGCCTTTACTTCTGGGGCTGAAGCTATCCTCCTGCCTCAGTCTCCTAAAGTGCTAGGATGAGAGGTGTGAGTCAACTTGGCAGGCCCAGGGCAATAACTATGCAATGTTTATATAACTTGGAGCAAAAAATATTTGAAATATGTGTGCATTGATTTTTAACCTTTTCTATTGATTTACTTTATTAAATACTGAATAGAAACAATATATTTATAAAATATTTATTGTATATGTATAATAAGCACATAATGAACACCTGTGTCTCCAGTCTTGGTTTAAGAAATTAAGCCAAAAGTAATCATAAGTGCTTATGATTACTTTTGAAGTCACCTGTACAACTTTTGCTGACTGCATCCCCGTCAACACTCTAACGATGGCCACTGTGAGCACTGTGTATATTGAATTGTGTTCTATTTTAATACCGTGTGCACTACATTGTTTTCCTAGCTGTATGCTATTGCATTTAGTGAGAATAAGGAATTATATCAGTATAAATCACTTTTGTCATTTCATTGTTTCAGCTTTTCTGTACTAATTATTGCCAATATATTTCTACTGGCGTAAAAACAGACACATAGGACAGTGGAACAGAATAGAGACTGCAGACAAATGTACACATTTACACACAACTCATCTCTGACAAAGGCATCAAGAACATACACTGGGAAAACAACAGTCTTTTCAATAAATGATCCTGGGAAAACTGAATAACTGTATGCAGAAGGATAAAATTAAACCCATCTTACCATACACAAAAATCAAATCAAATAAAAATGGATTAAAGACTTGAATCTGAGACCTCAAACTATGAAGCTAGTAAAAAAAAAAAAAAAAAGCAGAGGAAAGGCCAGGCGCAGTGGCTCACGCCTGTATTCCCAGCACTTTGGGGGGCCGAGGCAGGCGGATCACGAGGTCAGGAGATCGAGACCACCCTGGCTAACACGGTGAAACTCCGTCTCTACTAAAAATACAAAAAAAAAAAAAAAAAATTAGCGGGGCATGATGGTGGGCGCCTGTAGTCCCAGCTACTCGGGAGGCTGAGGCAGGAGAAAGGTGTGAAAAAAAAAAAAAAAAAAGAAAAAAGAAAGCATAGGAGAAATGCTCCAGGACATTAGTCTGGGCAAAGATTTTTTTGCGTAAGACCTCGGAAGCACAGGCAACAGAAGCAAAAATAGACAACGGGATTATATCAAACTAAAAAGCCTCAAGCAAAGGAATCAATCAACAAAGCGAAGAGCCAACCACAGACTGGGACAAAATATTTTCAAACTATCTATCTGATAAAGGATTAACAAGTAGAATATATAAGGAGCTCAAACAACTCAATAATAAACAAAAAATCTGATTGAAAAATGGGCTACTGAAGAGGCTGAGGTAGGAGGATTTCTTTTCTTTTTTTTTTTTTTTTTGAGATGGAGTCTCGCTGTCGTCCAGGCTGGAGTGCAGTGGCGCGATCTCGGCTCACTGCAGACTCTGCTCCCCAGGGGTTCACGCCATTCTCCTGCCTCAGCCTCCTGAGTAGCTGGGACTACAGGCGCCCGGCACCAAGCCCGGCTAATTTCTTGTATTTTTAGTAGAGACGGGGTTTCATCGTGTTAGCCAGGATGGTCCTGATCTCCTGACCTCGTGATCTGTACGCCTCAGCCTCCCAAAGTGCTGGGAATACAGGCGTGAGCCACCGCGCCCGGTCAGGAGGATTTCTTAATCCCAGGAGTTTGAGGTTACAGTGAGCTATGATTATGCTACTGCCCTTTAGCTTGGGTGACAAAGCAAGACCTTGCTTCTAAAAAAATAATAGTTAAAAATATATAAATAAATACAATTTAAAAATGGGCTAAAGATCTGAACAGATATTTTCTCAAAAGAAGACATACAAATGGCCAATAGGAAGATGAAAAAATGTTCAATATCACTAATCGTCAAAGAAATGCAAATCAAAATCACAACGCAATATCATCTCACCTTGGTTGAAATGACTTGTTTCAAAAAGACAGGCAATAACAGATGCTGGCAAGGATGTGGAGAAAGGGAAATACTAGTACACTGTTAGTGGGAATCTACATTAATAAAGCCACTATGGAGAACAGTATGGAGGTTCCTCAAAAAAGTAAAAATAGAACTACCATGTGGCCCAGCAATTTCTTTACTGGATATATATCCAAAATAAAGGAAATTAATGTGTCAAAGACATATCTACATGCCGATGTGTACTGCAGCACTATTCACAATAGACAAAATATGGAATCAACATAAGTGCTCATCAACAAATGAATAGATTTTAAAAGTCATATATATACATAATGGAATACTAGTCAGATACAAAGAAGAATGAAATTTTGTCATTCGCAGCAACATAGGTGGCGCTGGCCATTTGGCTTAACGTAATGAACATAGGCCATTATGTTAAGTGGAATGAGCCAAGCACAGAAAGGCAAATATCACATGTTGTCACTCATATGTGGGCAGTAAAAAAGTGAATCTCATGAAGATAGAAAGTAAATTGGTGGTTGCTAGAGGCCAGCAAGGGGAGTTGGAAGAGGAGATTAAGAGAAGAAAATATAAATGTATTTATCACCACTAAACTGTCCTCTAAAAATGTACAGATGGTAAATTATATATATTTTTTTAACTCAATAAAAAGTTAAAAAAATTCTGCTGTGTGTTTATAGAGCACATGTACAAGACTTTCTCTAGGGTTGTATCAGTTTTCTATTCCTGCTGTAATAATTTACCACAAATTCAGTGGCTTAAAGGTACACATTTTTGTAAGATTTGAGTCAGTTTTAAAAAACACACATAAACTTATTGTCTTAGAATTGTTTTGGTTGGAAATCTGGCATGGCTCTCACTGAACTAACATCAAGATGTTGGCAGGCGGCATTTCTTTCTGAAGGCTCTAAAAGAGCATCTGGGTTGTTGGCAGAATTCAGTTCCTTGTGGTTGTAGATCCTCAGTTTCTTCCTGGTTGAAAACTTTGGGTCATTCCCAGCTTCTAAAGGTCACTGGCTTTCCTTGGCTTGTGGCCCCCTACCACTGTTTTAAAAGCCAGTAATAGCAGGCCACATCTTTCTCATACTGCCATCTGTCTGAATCTCAGCATCCAGAAAATATTCTCTGCTCTCAAGGAATTATGAGATTAGATTGGACTCACCAAGGTAATTCAAGGTAATTTCCCCATTTCAATACCCTTAATGGTAATCACATCTGCCAAGTCCCTTTGAACATGCTAACTTACGTTAGTATGTTCACCTTATCTGAAGACTGGGATGTGGCTGTCTTTGGTGGGGGGCAATTTTTCTGCCTAACCCAAAGAAACGCAACTTGCAGATATACAACTAGTTCATGGAGATGAAACATTTTCAAATCTACAAGAAAATGTTTTCTAAAATGAGCATTTCATATTAGACTTTCACGAGCACTGTGTCAGAATTATATTTACTTCATAATGCTGCCAATACTGATATCAGATATTTAATTTTCTAGCCAGTTCAGGATAATGTGAATTGTGAATAATATATTTGTTTATTCAGTCAACAAACATTTTTTATCAGATACCACCGATATGCTGGACAGTGTCATGGATCCTAAAAATATAGCTGTTATTATTATTTTTTTAAACAAAGTTCCCACTGTGATAAAGCTTTTATTCTTTGGGACAGGCAGACAGTAATCCAGATAAATAAACGCAAGGGCAAATTGGGGGAAAAATTGGAATGGAGAGCTCAGAATCTGGCTCCAGAGAAGGGCAGAGGGAAAGGAGACCCAGTTCAGAATATCGGTGCGTCCACACCAAACGATTCCATGAGGGCTGAGGAGACAGAGCTGAAAGGCTTGTCTGACATCACAAGAGACAGAAAAGTGAGCCCCATTTTCATCTCTATCCTGACAACGTTCCTGGCTTGATTTCCTCCTTCCAGCAGACACAAGAATCAGGGAGCGCACCCTGATGGTAACATTTTTTTTCAGGGGCCTATTTTGGGGATGCTGGTGAGAACCTGAGTCTGTCACTGACCACGGCAGCCTAGCATGGTCCCCAGTGCGTGGCCCAAGGCCAAGATTCTCTACCTCCATCCTGGAGGCAGAAGAAATGTCTGGGGGAAAATGAGAGGTTTTAGGTGGTTGGCACTGGGTGAGACCAAGGAGAAATTTTAAAGCTGTGTGTCCTGGGGCCGGGGGCGGTGGCTCACACCTGTAATCCCAGCACTTTGAGAGGCCGAGGCGGGCAGATCACGAGGTCAGGGATTGAGACCATCCTGGCTAACGGTGAAACCCCGTCTCTACTAAAAATACAAAAAATTAGCTGGGCTTGGTGGCGGGTGCCTGTAGTCCCAGCTACTCGGGAGACTGAGGCAGGAGAATGGCGTGAACTGGGAGGCACAGCTTGAAGTGAGCTAAGATCGCACCACTGCACTCTAGCCTGTGTGACAGAAAGAGACTCCTTCTCAAAAAAATAAAAATAAAATAAAAATAGAAAATAGAAAAAGCTGTGTGTCCCTTGTTTCTTCATATTTTGCAGATTTTTGATGTCAAAATATTTTAATAGTCAAAAGAGTGTTAATAAAGAATGACTTCTCTGTTATAAAAACCCTAATAGTGAATGTATTTACCAAGAAATTAGATTCTATCTTTGGTTTTTTTGTTTTTTGCCCCTTAGTTTAAAAAAAAGTGTTATTGTATGGGTATTCTACAGTTAGTGTATCTACTCACCTCTTGATGGACATTTGGTTTGCTTCCAGTTGTTTTTGCTATTTCAAATAAAGTTGCTACGAATGTTTGTCCAATCATTTGGACATACGCTTTCATTTGTCTTGGGCAAATAAGCAGGATTTGAATGACTAAGTGGTGTGATATGTTTAACTTTTTTTTTTTTTTTGAGACAGAGTCTCGCTCTGTCGCCCAGGCTGGAGTGCAGTGGTGCATGGAGGCTCATTGAAAGCTCTGCCTCCCGGGTTCACGCCATTCTCCTGCCTCAGCCTCCAGAGTAGCTGGGATTACAGGCGCTCGCCACCACGCCTGGCTAATTTTTTGTATTTTTAGTAGATACGGGGTTTCACCGTGTTAGCTAGGATGGTCTCGATTTCCCGACCTCGTGATCCACCCGCCTTGGCCTCCCAAAGTGCTGGGATTACAGGCATGAGCCACCACTCCCGGCCAGTTTAACTTTTAAAGAAACTGACAAAGTTGCTGTATTTGCAGCAGCAGTGTATGAGCATTCCTGTTCCTTTGTGTTCTCACCAATGTTTAGTATGGTCAGTCTTTTAAATTTTATCTATTCTAATAGGCATGTAGCAGTATCTCATTGTGGTTTTAATTTACATTTCCCTAATGATGAATGACGTTGAACATCTTTCAATGTTCTTACGTATCATCCATCTGTATTCTATGGTGAAATGTCTGTTCAGATCTCTACATTTGTGTTAGACTATTTGTTTTCCTATTATTGAGTCCTGAGAGTTATTTGTATATTTTGGATAACAAATGTATCTTCACCAGATATAGCTTTTGTAAATTTTTACTCCCAGTCTGTGATATGTCTTTTTATTCTCTCGATAGTGTTTTTCTTTTTCTTTTTTTTTTTTTTTTTTGACAGAGTCTGGCTCTGTCACCCAGGCTGGATTGCAGTGGCACGATCTCGGCTCACTGCAAGCTCCGCCTCCCGGGTTCACGCCATTCTCCTGCCTCAGCCTCTTTGAGTGGCTGGGACTACAGGAGCCCGCCACTACACCCGGCTAATTTTTTGTATTTTTGGTAGAGAGGGGTTTCATCGTGGTCTAGATCGCCTGACCTCGTGATCCACCCACCTCGGCCTCCCAAAGTGCTGGGATTAGAAGCGTTAACCACCGCGCCTGGCCTCTGGATAGTGTTTTTCACAGGTCAGATTAATTTTTATATAAATCATTTATTTTATTTTTATTATGTAAAATTTTATAATTTTTAATTTTATTTTTAATTTCCTTTTTAAAAGGTAAATAAATTTTAAGTGTAATGATGGAAAATTTTGTTTAAAAGTAAATGTATATGAAAGTGTTGATATAGACTAAAAAATTGAATAAGTAAGAAGGTAGTTAGTTGTCACAGTAGGAGTGAAGTGAAAAGCTTCCCCTTTCACCCTCTGAAGATTACCCGAAATGAACTGACCATACACAGATTAATAAAAGAAAGGGTATACAAACTTACTTAACCTGCAAAAACATGAGAGCTATACACAAAGTATAAGACTTGAAGATGGCTCAGATCTTAAACGTTCTCCTCATAGGCAATAGATATATAGACCCAGGATGCAGACATTATTTTGTAAATAATTTCCTTTGGAAGCTGGATGGGACAGACAAATTACGGGAAGGTGAGAGATGGAACTGCACAGGAAAATGTTTGTCTTTGTCACTTTAATCTTATCATTACTAGAGAATATTTATGAATATTTTAGAATAATATATTTTTAAGCCCCAACCTCACCAAATGTTTTTTCTAAAACAAATACTTTTTGTTGTTGTTTGTTTGTTTTTGATACTGTGTCTCACTCTGTCACCCAGGTATGAAGTGCAGTGGTGCAACCATGGCTCACTGCAGCCTTGACCTCCTGGGCTCAAGTGATTCTCTTACCTCAGTCTTCCAAGTAGCTGGGCTACAAGCATGCACCATCATGCCCTGGTAATTAAAGAACAAAAAAATTTTTGTTAGAGACCAAGTATCCTTATGTCACCCTGGCTAGTATTGAACTCCTGGAATCAACTGACCCTCATGCCTTGGCTTCCCAAATTATTGGGATTATAGGTGTGAGCCACAGTGCCTGACCACATATTTCTATACTTCAGTGAGGAAAGGAAGGTGTTAGGAAAATTGGTTAAGAACTATTTTTTAAAAAGCTATTAGTAGTGTTTTATTTTATTTTTTAATGATTGATTGATTTTTGAGATTGGGATCTCACTATGTTGCCCAGGCTGGTTTCACATTCCCAAGTTTAAGCAATACCCCTGCCTCAGTCTCCCAAGTAGCTGGGATGACAGGTGTATGTCACCATACCCAGCTCCATTAGTAGCGTTTTTAACAATTGTGGGCCACTGAGTAAGAATATTTTTTTTAAATTAAAGGTTATTTTTTAAAAAGCACATTTGTAGAAAATTACTAGCATAATCTGCCTAAAATAAATATACATATTGAAAAAATGTTTGCTCTGAACAAAAAGAAATATATTCACCACACACACATACATACACACACACACACGCACACACGCACACACCCACACACACACGCACATTATGGAAGATTTCAAGACCAGGCAATAATTTGCACTCAATCCAAAAACAATGCAATCCCAGAGCTGAATATTTAGGTGAAAAATATATCAGGAATGGGAGGCATTCAGGTTTAATTTTCATGTTTTGGTAGAGTTAGGATGTGAGTTTTCATTTAAAAATATTCTTTATCTTTTTGCTACTATTGTGGTTTCTGTATTGTTACTATACAATCTGTAAACTAAATAGTAAAGGAGAGAAAAGTGATTTTCAACGAAGCTGGCTTGGGAACAGGTACTATTCTGGGAAGATGAAAGGTTTCACTTAATGACTGGTACCTGTGCCACTCTGGTTATTTTAACTGTTAACCTTTTAGCAAGAGGTTTTTCTTTTAAAAGACATCCTTTAATATTTGGGAAGCTAGTGCAATAGTACACATTGAGGCCCACATACCACATGCCAAATATTTAAAGGGCATATTTCTAGCTAACCACTGTACATACATATATTTTTTCTCTCTTATTTTCTTATTTTAGTTTTTTTCCTTGTCAACAATTTAATTTTATGTCCACACTTATCTTCTATCATCCCACTTTGACAAATAATATACCTTCAAAATGATGTGGAAGACTAGATTGGAATTTAGAACCGTAGAACCTTGTAATTGTACAGGCAAGTATCTTCCTGGGAAAAAATAAAACAGGAAGAAAAGGCTGGGCAGCCTCTGGTTCAGGAAGGAAATTCGGGAGTCCCTTATAGCAGCATCTCTAGTACTTGGGAACCGAACAGACTTCTCGGCCTGTGAGGCTGGAATGGGCCCTTCTGGAGAACGCGACAGAGAAGTTATCTACTCCCTTTGCCCCCAGGGCCCAGGCAACACTTTTACCCTCCATTGCTTGTTTCCGAAGTTAAGGGGAGGAGACAATGTTTTGTTTAGTGACCTCGACAGAAAAAGTGTCCTCCTGCAACCACTCATTTGTTACTTTCCTTCTTCCTGAATTGCCTGGACCCACTCCTCCTCCATTTCACTGGCTCTGTGCACTGATGTTATAGTCAGGAGATTTTTGGGAATTGTGGCTTCTAAAAATGTACACCCGACTCTACCCATAGCTGGCCCTGTGAACCTACACACCTACTCCACTGTGTCTCCTTCTCAAAGAGACACTCTTCCTGCTGAGTCTCTGCCCTCTGCTCCTAGATCCAAATGGCATCTCCTACCCTATCCCTGTATGGCTTAACCTAGGGAAACTCTTTCCCAGAGGAGTCAGGTAAGGAGACGGTGGCTGAGCTTCTTACAGACTTAAAGGAGACATCCTGGAATTTAGGAGTCTGTCCTTCCTTTCTGTCTCCCTGGCAGCTCCTGCTGCTGCTCAAAGTTTAGCTTTGTCTCTCATCCAGCTCAGACTGTTGCTGGTCCTGATAGCCTCTGCTTAGCTGTATTAGTATGTTCTTGCATTGCTATAAAGAAATACATGAGAAATACCTTTAGTTGGCTCACCGTTCCATAGGCTATACAGGAAGCATAGTGGTTTCTGCTTCCGGGGAGGCCTCAGGAAACTTTTACTCAAGGTGCAGGGCAAAAAAAAAAAAAAAAAAAAAAAAAAAAAACTACCAGCACTGCACTGTGAGGCCCTGATCCCTGAGCTAACTTCATATTATTACCTCTACAGCAAGTGTCTGTGAGAACATAGATATATTTCTTATGTGAGTACACAATTTACAGAAGAGGAACTACCCTCCCAAACCAAAACAAAATGTCATAATTTTAATTTACCAGCAAACCTAGGTTGCTTCTGTGAAATGATCTCATTTGCTGAGTTTTAAAATTGACTAAATTTCCCAATTTCCAAATGAAAATATTTAGTTATCTTGTCTTGCTATGTGTTTTTGGTTAATATGATGATTAATTTTTGGTCTATTACTTAATATATTCCATAATTGTTGATATGGATTATAAGGACTTACAAAATAGTTTTCAGATGTCTTTAATTTTTTTACTTAGTGTAGATCCTATAAATGGATTAGGAGTATTCTATTAACTCCCATGTATTCAGAAATCAAATTGGAGTGGTAAATTCTGTTTGAGGTAACAAGGGATATCAAAGGAAAAAAATAATTTCGTGACTATGTCTTCTATACATGAATTTTTCAGGCATCTTTATCAATGGCTTATACTAAAGAAATTTTCTGGATCATGGGTGACAGAGAGAAGACATGCGGATAAGTGGCATTGTGTACACTACTGCATTTTATCATCTGGCTTATTTTTAAACTTTTATTTCTCTTAAGGATGTTTTATTAACCGGTGCATCACCAGGTTAACAGTCTCTGGAACAGTAAACTTACCAGAAAATACTTGTTGATTGAATTAACAAGAAAACAACATTAGAAAACAGTGGTGCCTTGTTTTTGTCTGTTGCAGTATCTTGGAGAGTAAAGCCTAACTCTTTAATTTTGGCTGAAGATATAAAGAAATACCTGAGAAATACCTTTAGTTGGCTAATGGTTCCGTAGGCTATACTGGAAGCATGGTGGTTTCTGCTTCTGGGGAGTCCTCCAGCACTTACTGGCAGGGTAATTTTGAAGAAGTCATGATAAGATGGTTGTTACAATTAAATGAAATAATCAAAATGGAAGAGCTTAGTTAGCTGTCTTCCCTAAATGAATCACTGGCAAGTAAGAGTGTGATTGATTTTCCTACCAGTCAGGACTCACCCCTTGAAGCTATAGGAGAGTAAACTCTGAAGACCATACAATTTAGGGAACACTAACACCTCAAAAAACTCTGTAAACTTCCTTCCTTCCTTTTCTTCCTTCCTTCCTTCCTTCCTTCCTCCTTCCCTCCCTCCCTCTCTCTCTCTTTCTTTTCTTTCTTTGTTCATTTTTGAGACAGAGTCTTGCTCTGTCATTCAGGCTAGAGTGTAGTGGCTGGATTATGGCTCACTGCTGCCTTAACCTCCTGGGCTCAAGCAAACGTCTCACCTCAGCCTCCCTAGTAGCTGGGAGTATTGGCATGCTCAGCTAATTTTTTCCTCCTTTTCTTTTTGTACAGACAGGGTCTCATCATGTTGCCCAGGCTGGTCTTGGACTCCTTGGATCAAGCAATCCTGCTGCCTCAGCCTCCCAAAGTGCTGGATTACAAGCATGAGCCACCGTGCCCAGCCTTAAGTTTTTTCATACAGGAGGAAAGAATTTGGGAAAGTAGGTGTGTGTGTGAGTGTTGATTAGGGAGCCAACACATTTTTCTGCAAAGCTTGAATTCTGTGCCTCAGTTTTTCATTTTGTTATGTGCAAAATAAAATCGTATCCTGCTATAGATTTAAACCTGTGAGCGGATCCTACTCAAAACCTGTTTCAAATTTTGTGTAGATATTTGTCTCTCTATGGTATAAGAATAAATTCTTCTGGTTTTCTTCCCTCAGAAAAATGGACTTAGACTTCCCACAAGCCTTCCAGAAAGAACTCACCTGCCTCACTTGCCTGAATTACCTCATAGACCCCATCACTATAGGCTGTGGGCACAGTTTCTGTAGGCCCTGACTCTGCCTTTGCTGGGAAGAAGCACACACTCCTGCCCTGCATGCAGGGAACTGTCACAGCAGGAAGATTTCAACCAATATTCTTCTGAAGAATCTAGTGTCCATTGCCAGAAAAGCCAGTCTCTGGCAATTCCTGAACTCTAATGAACAAATGTGCGGGATCCACAGGTAGACAAAGATGTTCTGTGATGTGGGCAAGAGCCTGCTCTGTTTTCTGTGTTCTAACTCTCAGGAACACTGGGGCACAGAAACACTGGCCCACTGAAGGGGCAGCTAAGGAACACTGTGTAAGTGATGACTCAGAGCACTTTGAAAGCTGGAGGGAAGCACAGGTAAAGAGATTAGGAGGAAGATGAAGAGCATGAGGATTAATCTATTCTTTAGCGAGTGTCATGTACTGCCTAGGTATCAGTGATATAACTGTTATCCTGCTATCAAATCTACTGATAAGTGGCTCATTTAACTTATATGCACTCATCACAATGCAAGAAATCCTCTGACTGCTCCTACCATCGTGGCCCCTAGCCATGATAAGACTTGTCCCCACACTAGCAGAAACTAATCGAGTCCCTATATTAGGGATAAGTGGCATTTATATATATATATATAATTTTTATATATAATTTTTATATGATATATAAAATTATAAAATATAAATATTTATACAATATATATTATATACATATATATACATATATATATACATATATATATATATATATATATATATATATATATATATATATCACAATGCCAAACATGTTTTGTCTTGGAAATAATCACAGTGCATTTGGAGAGACAAATGCATCTACAACCAGGCGACAACACTGAAAATAAAATTGTAGCAGTTTGAATAGGGGATTAAATGAGTTAATTTTTTCCTGGGGTTCAAAAAAAGAAACAGCAGCAAAAAATGGTACTTAAGACTGAAAGTTGGCCATGTGCAGCTGCTCATGCCTGTAATCTCAACATTTTGGGAGGCCAAGGTGGGCGGATAACCTGAGGTCAGGATTTCGAGACCAGCCTGGCCAACATGGTGAAACAACGTCATTACTAAAAATACAAAAATTAGCTGGGCATGGTGGCAGGTGCCTGTAATCCCAGTTACTCAGGAGGCTGAGGCAGGAGAATCTCTTGAACCCAGGAGGTAGAGTTTGCAGTGAGCCAAGATCACGCCATTGCTGCAGCCTGGGTGACAAAAGCAAAACTCCATCTCAAAAAAAAAAAAAGGAAAGTTCTGGGTTATGACACAGAACACATGCAACATGAATATGTCATGGTTATGAACATGTAGACTACTCAAGATTGTGTATTTTTAAAATAATAGAATACTAGGTTAAAAAATTAGCATCACAGAATGAAAAATAAGCCACAAACTAGCAGAAGATAATTGTAACACATAAAAACAAAGGATTAAATACAATGGTAATATAATGATAGCTATTCTTACAAAGTTGTTTCTATGTCTCAGGTACTATTCTGAACAACATATGTGCATCTTGAATGCGTGAAGAGTTCCTATATAAGAAAAACACAAACAACAACATTTAAAATGAGCAAAAAACCCGAATAGGAATTTCACAGAAGAGAAAACATAAATGGTCCATAAACATAATAAAAGATGCTCAACTACAATTCTAATCAGGGAAATAAACATTAAAACCCCAAAGAGATGCCACTTCATACTCTAGGAAAAACCTAAAAGGCTGTGAATATCTAGTTTCATTGAGGAAGAACAATGGGAAGACTATTCACTGCTGGTGAGGGTGTAGATTGGTACAACTGCTTTGGAGAACGGTATGATGCCACTCAATAGAGCTGAACACACACATGCCCAATGACCAAGCAATTCCACTCCAGGTACATACAGTAAAAATACTCCTGCACATGTAGAATAGGAGACACTGCATAACAAAGTTCACTACAACATGAGGCTGAGGTGGGAAGATAGCTTGAGATCAGGAGTTCGAGGCTGCACCAGTAGCTGGGACTATAAGCATGTGCCACCATGCCTGGTTAATTTTTTGCTGTTGTGGTTGTTGTTAGAGATGAGGTCTTCCTTTATTGAACAAGCTGGTCTCCAACTCCTGGCTTCAAGTGATCTTCCCACTTCTGCCTCCCAAAGTGCTGGGATTACAGGGGTGAGCCACTATGCCTGGCCAAGCTCTGCTTCTTAATCTGAGGTAGATACTTTGATGTTTCATTTTCCTTTATTGTACAGATATACTTTATATTCTCATATGTGACACAAGTCAAAATTTAAAAAAACAATTTAACATTTATTCCCTTTAGATGAATGATGGGCAAATTTACATAATGAATTCATTACTGAAACAATGTATACATTTCAGACTAGGAAAGTAACTATTTATAAAAGAAAAGCTTAAAACCTGAAACAGAAACAAAATCCTGAAACTGTAAAATTGAGTCAAACTAAAATTTAAAAAACAAAGTAATGATATAAAGTATCATTTGTCCAAATGTGTTCTACAAAACGCTTTTTTCTTAAATATGTCTGATGAAAAACAGGTTCTAGGAGTAAAATATGTTTGAAAAATGCTGGGTTAAACAACTGAACCTATGAAGGAAGGAATAGAACATCTCAAGCTCTTCACTCTGGAATCTTTTTTACACGGCAATTAACACCATGCTTCTTCTTGGATTTGTATTTCAGATAAACACAATCTGGGAAACATTTTATAATACAGAGGGCCACACCAGATTGAATATTACCCCCAGGAATGAAATGAAAACAGGAATGGATTCTCCAGTAAGAGGTACCCAGATATCCTAATCTTCAGTAGCTGACCTAAACCCTGGAAAAGTGGGATCAAACCCCATAACCAAATACAACTATTTAGGAACTAAGTGGATAATCACTCTGTGTTGTATGAACATGTGGGCAGTGTGTTTCCTACACAGTTTAAAAGTGCAACAAAAAAAAGATCTAGGTGTCATATAAAGAATTTCTACCACTGTTAGGGTAATGGTGGACTGACAGGCAGAGGGTCTTAGATGTGACTTAAGTAAAGTTCAATAGAAGCTTCCAGCACAGATATTCATGTTTTGAATTGGACCGCTCAGTTAAAAAGTTTTCCCATTAGACTTCCCCTAATCAAATTAGAAATGATCTAATTTTCTAATAAAGTTTTCCCCAGGCACAAGGAATCTGTGAACTGGACCTAAAAAATTCTTCATAATGTGCTTTTATTACCATAAAAGATGCACATTTATTTTAAAAACTTCTCTAAACCACTATCATAAGCCTTTGCACACACTTATTTCTTTTGGAAGCTAACTTCTGAGTGGTAATGAAATACATTCTTAAGAAAAAAGTCTGACACAATGCCTTTGCATCTTAAAATATGTTAAAATATTATTTGAAAAGAGTCAAACATCTGTGTTTTCAGGGTATCACAGGGCGTCAAACTGGAAAATGTGGCACTGCCAGGAGTTTCTACCTGGTGAAGGGTGGCAGACTTTTCTCTTCAGAGGGCTCTTGACAGGGTAGTATCCATTATCTTGCCAATTTACCACAACCTAGGCCCAATCCTCAGTCTTATAGGTTCAGAAATTTATTTTTATCAGCATCAATAGGGTAGCTACATTGCTTAGAAGCAAACAAAAATAACCATGCTTCAATAGAAATCAGGGTATAGATGTATTAATACAGAATGACAAATATAACTGTGACAGAAATAGGAATGCCCGTTTATGGTCATATATGGCCAATACTTTCATTACAGCCAAACTCATACATGCAGACAAATAGGAGGCCTCTGGATACACAGGGAATCAGAATAAAAAAAGAAGAACTGAACATTTAAAACATTTAATAGTCTTCTTTCATTCAATCAATAATTTTTTTTAATTAAGAAACTACTATGTCCAGGTAACCTTCTAGGTCCTGGGGATACAGAGGTCTCGGCTTACAGAAGTCATATGTAAGTAGCAGGTGAAGAGTATGTGTTTCACAGAAGTTTATTACAATATATTAACAAGAGCAAAAAATTTTGGAAGCAATCTAAATGTTCAATAATAGAGCTCCATTTAAATAACAATAAATCCAAATAATGAAAAATAATGCAGCCCTTTAAGAATAAGCACTTGCAAGCCGTAATTCATGACATGGGAAAATTATCATAGTGGAAAAAGAAGCAAGCTATAGTGCATGATCCTATACACACACATACATACATACATATTTCCTATCCCTTTATATGCATAAGAAAACAAGCGGGAGGAAAGTCATATCTTTAGTCAAATCTTGTTTACTAACGTACTATTAATGATTATCTTTTCTTTTTCTTTATACCTTTTTGCATTTTTCAATTTCCTAAAATAGCCTTACATGCCTTTTATCACCAGGAGAAAAATTACTTCTAAAGTAATTACAGTCAACATGCATACTAAGAACTCTTCAGATTTAACTGCTAGAAGCTGTGCATGAATGCCAGTCCTTGCATCTGTCTTGGAACTCACAGAGAGCTCTTTTCCCATGGCTTTAAGCAATACTCAAAAAGACTAGCATACCTGAATTTCCTAGTCCTATGTTTTTTTCATCCAACAGCCAGTCTTGTATTTCTAGCTGTTTTCTAAACATTTCAACCAAACCATTTTACAGATAACTCATACAGTCATCCTTTGATATGCATGGCGAATTTGTTCCAGGATCCCCCTTGTATACCAAAATCCATGGATGCTCAAGTTACTGGTATAAAATAGTGTAGTATTTGCATATAACCTACACACATCCTCCTATATACTTTAAATCATCTCTAGATTACTTAATAACACTTAATACGATGTAAATGCTATGTAAATAGTTGGTATACCATGTTGTTTTTTATTTGTATCATTTTTTATCATTGTATTGTTTTTTCTGACAATTTTGTTCCACAGTTGTTTGAATTGGTGGATGCAGAACCCATGAATATGGAGAGTCAATTGCATTTCATTATGCCCAAAGGTAAATGCATAACTTTTTCCGCACAGCTAATCTTCTAGCAACCCCATTGCTGTCCATGGCAAGCAGGCTTAGTCAATCTCGCCCTTTCCCATTTCAGGTTCATTAAAAAACTCTTGTCAAAATCTCTTTCATCCCACCTTATTCTTCATTCTCACTTCCATCAGCATATCAGTCCAGGCCCTAGTAACATTAATGTTACTGATGGCACTGTTAGTAACATTAGTTACCAGCATTCAAGTGGGTCTTCCTGATGCCATTCTCTCCCATCCTGAAATCACTGCTCTTTATATAGAACTTGTATGATGTCATTCATTGGCTTAAAAACTTTTAAAGCCTTCATTTTTCTACCACCCCAATCTAAATTTCTATGCCTGGCTTTTATTAAAACCCATAATTTGGCCCCACCCTAGCTATTTAACTTTATTTTCCACTATTCGCCAGTCTCCACCCTCATCAACGAGAAGACATACCATAATCCACCTCACCACTAACCCTTGGAATATCTAAACTTAAAAATGGTCCTTCCTTTCCCCTTTACTTGTATTTAAAGAACCTGACGAATTATTCCTCCTCTGCTAAACTTTTCACAATTTCTTCAACCTCATTTATGTTTCACATTTTCAGAACATATCTTGCCGTTTATTAGGAATCTCACAATTATTCACTCTCATGTAGATAGATTTACAATCATGTATGTTGTCATCTTCTATTAAATTCCATACTCCTTGAAGGCAGGAGCCATGCCTTATTCTGTACTCAGAATGATGCAGAGCACACAGAAAGTACTCAAACCTTGTTGACTGATCCAGTGAGAAATGACCAACTTCAGTTCCAGCCTCTCTTTAACATGTACATAGCAATTTGGGCAAGTCAAGCTCCATCCTGAAGGACATAATAGGGGACTCTTTTAAGCACATTATTATGAAGGCCCTTCAGGGATAACACCAGAGTGATGAGGTGCCCTATTCCAGGGATAATGGAGACAGAGTTCTTGGGATTCATCACTGGGGTCCTCAAAGCATCTTCCAAGGGCATAATAAGGAAGGACTCAAACACCTTTGAATCTCCGTGAGACCAGGCATGATGTCTTTTGAAAGAGTTCTTTCACTGGAGTGAATGTCAAAGAGAAGTATAATAAAATAAAAGAACTGAGTAGGGTACCCCTTGTTCATAAAATGACACTACCTAAATCACCCAATCTCACTGAGTCTTGGTTTAACTCAAGAGGTTCCATGCCACTATAAGAGGTGGTAACTGCCAACTGATAGGAAATATTTTCATATGCATAGTCATAGTGCCCCATATTTATGAACTTCTTAAGAGTCTTCAAAAAGCTTTCTATATACATTATCTTTTACTTTCTAACTTCTCTAAATACAAGGTGAGAGAGACGCAAGTGTTCTATCAAAACAGAATCTTGGCCGGGCACAGTGACTCACGCCTGTAATCCCAGCACTTTGGGAGGCAGAAGCGGGTGGCTCACTTGAGGTCAGGAGTTCGAGACCAACATGGCCAACATGGCAAAACTCCATCTCTACTAAAAATACAAAAAATTAGCCAGGTATGGTGGCAGGTGCCTGTAATTCCAGCTACTCGGGAGGCTGAGGTAGGAGAATTCCTTGAACCCAGGAGGCAGAGGTTGCAGTGAGCAGAGATTACGCCACTGCACTCCAGTCTGGGCAACAAGAGCAAAACTTCATCTCAAAAAAAAAAAAAAAACCATAAAGACTTTTGCAAGGACCATGTCCCACCCAGAATGGTGCCTGCCTTTCTACAGTTTTTCAGGAAGAGGAAACATTTTCTGCTTCTCTTGCTGAGGTTTTTTTTTTAACCACCCATTAGGAATGTATAGATTTCAGTATCGAACACTGGGATTCCCTCAGCACTAAAGGAGGAAAATTGCAAACAGAGCTGAAAGTGCAATGTGGAAAGGTCAGGCTGAGGAAGGTTCTTAGCCAGTAGACCAAGGGCAGAAAGGACACTGCCTCCTCAGTCTCCCACTGGGGAACTTGTGATTCTTGTCCCCTGACCTCAGAATTCCTTGTCATGTTTGTTTTGTCTCCAAGGGAAGGGTTTGAATTACAAAATTTAAGGCTAGAGTGGGCCTCCTGCAGTTAACATTAACCCTCTCTCTCCTTCACTGGCCTAGGTGAAGTCCAGGACCATGTAGTTCTGACGTCCACTCTCTCGGGAGATCACCAGTTCACCCATCTCACCCGGTAAGCTGAGCCCTAGTTTGGCGACAGGCATCTTCCACCCACCTGGGAGGCAGGGTTCAACACTCTGCCTCTGACCTTTTTTCCTTCCTCTGCCACCTGCTTAGGCAGCCAGAAGGGGTTGTCTAGCCAGCACCTGGGCTTTGGCGCTCCTCAAGCAGGTGGAGGAAATTTCAGACACCTGGCTCCTCAGGTGTCTGCCATCCAGCTACTCTTCAGGCCTGCCCAGCAGAGCTCTCTTGATCCAGCTAGAACTGGCCAGAACTGACTCACTCAGGAATGTGTAGACTTTGGCATCATGGGCTGCTTTAATTTGCACAATTTCCAAATACCTTTTTCTTCTTTTTCTGATGAGTCATCTCCCTAGACTTGCATTTTAAAGAGATAGATAGTTATCAGGTTCCAGAGAAGACGTGGTAGAACATTTATATCTCAAAGACACAGAGCTGAGACTTCAGGTTTAGATACTATAATTTGCCTAAACCAAAAAGGAATGTGTAGGTAAAGTTCTAGTCAAGACAGGATGGCCAGGAAAAACACCTTAAACCAAGGGATGGCTTGCTTTGCTGATTTAAGCCAATGGCTTCTTTATCATAAGACTTCCCAGTGATTTAGTCCTCCCTCTCTTCCAGTGCACAGAGACATACCCCTCCTTACAAATAAAAATATTCTTCATAGATGTAAACTTATTTTACAAAAATGTTTCAAAATAACCAGATGAAAATCATCCTTATGCCAGAAAGACTTGTTTTTTTTTTTCATTACTAGAAATGAAACAGTAAGTATTTGTTGTATTGACATACTTAGGCTTAGACCTATGTTTAACAAGAAAGCCTAATAATAGCACTGTGGTTAGACTGTAGCCTCTTTTTCCAAACCATCATTTTATTATTATGGAAAGAAAGGATCAAATACCTTTCATTCATCTCATATGATCCTTTAAAATACATTCCACTAATAAGTCCCATTTGGAACAGCTGAAAATCTTTTAATAAGACTTTTTAAAGATGAGCTCATGGCTTAGTGTAAATTTCATAAGCTTAATTAGGTCAAATGGAAGGAACTCAGATGAGTAGTTGCCCAATCAGAGCCCATTATTTGTAAGTCATCAGCCTCCTTCATGACCTTAAAACTCCACTCTGACCTAATTATTGCAAACTTATATACAACAAAGTGAAAGGATTAATTTTCATTCATCAACCTCTCAATCCCAGATTTTCAAAGAAAAAACCTATGTAAGGAATACTTACCAAAACCAGACAGGAAAATTAGAGCCTGCATACTTAAGAGTCAAATTTGTTCCACTACAGCCAGGTCACATACAATTACATCATTTGGTTCTTCATACACTCTGGAACTGACCAGGACAGAGTTTAGCATAGAAAAACTGTAAGAAATAGGTTCCAAAACATAGAAATTGCAAAGTCCAAAAGGCTATGAAAAAAACTAATGTAAATGAGAGACTCCCCTCCCTTTGTTTTAAAGAAATAGACCCATCAGAGAAATGCAAATCAAAACCACAATGAGATACCATCTCACACCAGTTAGAATGGTGATCATTAAAAAGTCAGGAAACAACAGGTGCTGGAGAGGATGTGGAGAAATAGGAACACTTTCACACTGTTGGTGGGGCTGTAAACTAGTTCAACCATTGTGGAAGTCGGTGTGGCCATTCCTCAGAGATCTAGAACTAGAAATACCATTTGACCCAGCCATCCAAGTACTGGGTATATACCCAAAGGATTATAAATCATGTTGCTATAAAGACACATGCACACGTATGTTTATTGCGGCACTATTCACAATAGCAAAGACTTGGAACCAACACAAATGTCCAAAAATGATAGACTGGATTAAGAAAATGTGGCACATATACACCATGGAATACTATGCATCCATAAAAAATGATGAGTTCATGTCCTTTGTATGGACATGGATGAAGCTGGAAACAATCATTCTCAGCAAACTATCGCAAGGACAAAAAACCAAACACTGCATGTTCTCACTCATAGGTGGGAATTGAACAATGAGAACACTTGGACACAGGAAGGGGAACATCACACACCAGGGCCTGTTGTGGGGTGGGGGGAGGGGGGAGGGATAGCATTAGGAGATATGCCTAATATAAATGATGAGTTAATGGGTGCAGCCCACCAACATGGCACATGTATACATATGCAACAAACCTGCACATTGTGCATGTGTACCCTAGAATTTAAAGTATAATAAAAAAATTAAAAAAGAAAAAAAGAAATAGATGTTCTGTAAAAATATACACAATTTTTACAGACAAATACATTTATAAGTTGTTTTTATCTTAAAAATTGGGGATATTTCATATTTATAACTAATTATTGAGCCTTAAGTTTTCTTGGCCATTTCTAGGCTAATAAACTAAGAATCATGTAAACTAAGCCAAAGTAGAATAGACATAAAAGTCCTGAACACTTCAACTTCCTATCCTTCAAGAAGTATACCTCGCAAAGCTCATTTGAGAGAGGAAAAGCTTTCCTCCACCCTCTGTTTTACAGCGCTGAGGCTTCTCATCACATTTCTATGACTTGTAGCTTAAATCCATGTTACATGGTCACCGGTATTGTTAGTGCTTCTCTTTTAACACTGTAGGAATTAATCAATTTGGTGGCTTATTTAATTAATTCTATCACTAGAGGATTGTAAAATTACATATATGAATACCTCACTTTAAAGGCCACTTAATTTTTTTCCAAGGGGATATTTGACTATATTTCACTTGTATCTTATTTAATGATTTTATAATTTAAACCCTAAATTATAAATCTAGAATTTAGAGAGTATATTTCCTCACTGGATTACATTTTTGGAAATATTATTTTATATGTGCACAAATATTACAAAATCACTGTAGACACCTGAAAACTATATTATCTTTTAAAGGCAATATTCTACATTAAACTGGTATAACAAAATTGTTTGGTGCATTTTTTCCAGTACATTTTGTATATATTACATGTTTAACCTTTTTTTATCCAGCAAATAATTTTTGAGTACTAAGTGCTAGGTTCTGCATTACTAATTGAATTTAAAGAGTGAAATAACAGACATGGTCTCAGACAATAAAAATTAACATTAGGTCACCTACTTATATATCTTTAAATGGTAATTATGAAAACTTTTTGAGATTTTTAACTAGATAACATTATAATAACACACTTGATATTGTTAATATTTGTCAGTGAGCAAAAAAGAAAATAAAAAGATGGTTTTATTCAATATACACTTTAAAACTGCAGGAAATAGTCAAGTTTCTCTGCTTTGCAGTTGAATGTCTATGTGTTTTTCTCTGCAACTTGGCCTTTGTGGAGTGAGAAACAATTATTCTTCCAGCCCAATGAAGGCAGAAGAGTAACAATAAATCTAATATTTTAAATGCTTATCAAAAGATAGTAAACATATTATTTCAGAATACTGATATCAATAAGTTGACCTACAAAAAAAGCCAAACTGACAGTATTACTGAATAAGGAAAGGCCCAAAGAGACAAAATACTTTTTATTTTGTAATCTCGGTATGACACAACTTACCCTAACTATAAAGACCCTAAATTACCAACATGGGTGCTTATAATATGGGGAATTAAAAAAGTCATTTCACTTTTAGCTTTTTTATTTCTCTCAGAATAAAAAGTGTATAAGGAGTTTATAAAGAAGTTGATACTATAAGTTAGTACTACAATGACAGCACTTTTCAAGAAAAGACTTTTTTCTCTCTTACAAATATCATGTTAGCAGTATTTGTTTTCTCCAGAAATAATGAGGAAATAAAAACATAAGTATGTGGGTAATTAGTGTAGTTTCTTAAAGAAATGAGTTAGGCAACAGGCTAATAATGTATACTTCGCTGGCTTTTGAATGCCAACAATCATATTCTTTATAAGGCACAGAGATTTTTCTAAAGAATAAGTATGTGAACCTGAAAAGTAATCACCACTTGGTAGTGACAATATGGATAGGGTGAAGGGCATCACCAAGAAGCAATGAAAAGATACATTTGCAGTTAAATTTGAAAACCATGATGTTTAATACATATAGTAATAAAGAATACTTTCTCCTGTTTCAAAATTATTTTAGAGTTTAAGATAGAAGCTAAAATACCTAGGGATAATGATATGACTATTAAAAATTAAAGGACATTTTGAGTATTAGAAGAATGAAAACTTATTACCCAATGAACAGAGATAATTCATTATGCTCCATATCCATTGAATTAAAAGACAGGCCCATTACCTGGATAATTTGAAAGTTTAATTTTATTTAAAAGTCTTGTTTCATTCATCAAGCTAAAGGATTAGCTCCCAGAAATATTCTATGATTGCATATCTGCAACTCTGTAGGAAGTATAGAAAGAATGTTATAAGGGCCACCATCTAAACATTATTATGTAAATAATTTAGTACCATTCCATTTGCCTTTGTAGATTTAAAAATGTAAATGGCTTTCTCATATTAGGAAACAGCACTTTTCAAAACCCAGATAAACATAGTATATTGCAAGAGAATAATTATTTTCTTTATTAAAAAAATACTGGATGCTAAGTCCAAAAGACATAAATTATTTTATACTAATAACTACTAATATTTTATTCATTAAAATATAAAGGTCAAAGATTTCAAAAGATCTTTAAATGATTAATAACATGTTGATCTTTTTCTTCTTTCTGTAAACCTTTTTGAGTCTTAACAATACTAAACTATACAAGCAATATTAAATAGTATATAAACGGATTAAAATATTCAAATTTACTAGAATGTGGACATTGGAAAGAATGAAAATAAACAGAAGCATGAAGCAGCAGATATAAAATTAAGAAAGTAACTAAGAGTGTTTAAAGTACATATTCATCTGTGGTCTAATGTCTACCATAAACAATGACTCTTCTCAGTAAAACACAAATTGTTCATGAAGGGAAAAAGCATGTTGTATTAGAGAATATTCAACATAATTTTTTTAGTACTAACTTGTGCCTGGAGAATTATTTGTTTTTCTATTATGAACTTATGCACTTGATAATTTTTTTCATCAAAATTGCATGTACAATTCCATTCAGAAGCAGTTTTTGGTGGGTTTTTTTTTGAGACAGAGTTTTGCTCTTTTCACCCAGGCTGGAGTGCAATGGTGTGAATTTGCCTCACAGCAACCTAGCAACTTTTGCCTCCCAGGTTCAGGTGATTCTCTTGCCTCAGCCTCTCGAGTGGTTAGGACTATAAGCATGCACCACCATGCCTGGCTAATTTTGTGTTTTTAGTAGAGACATGGTTTTGCCATGTTGACCAGGCTGGTCTTGAACTCCTGACCTGAGGTAATCCGCCCACCTTGGCCTTCCAAAGTGCTGGGTATGGGCAAGAGCCACCATACCTGGCCTCAAAAGCAGTTTTTAAAAGCAAACACAATATAACACCAAAGTTGAAAAATCTATGCTCACCCAAGGATGCCAGGTTTAATAAATTATTGATAGAATACTACATCAAAAATAAGACAATGACCAAAAATATACCATTAAAGATGTATCCACTCCTACAACTAGAGATAATTAATCTATCGGGTAGCAAATGATACTTCAATCAGTTTCAGCATGTCTGAAATCTTTAAGGACAAAAGTGATAAAACATGACTTCATTCTTCATTAGACTCTTAGAACACTTGAAGGAAAATAATTTCTGAAGCACGAAGAGGTGAAGAGGTGTAATCTTTCAAAAAGATATTCAGTGTTCAAAATCCAAGAGTGCAATATCAGGCTGGGTGCGGTGGCTTATGCCTGTAATCCCAGCACTTTGGGAGGCCATGGTGGGTGGATCACCTGAGGTCAGGAGTTTGAGTCCAGCCTGGACAACAGGGTGAAACTCTGACTGTACTAAAAATACAAAAATTAGCCAGGCATGGTGGTGTGCACCTGTAGTCCTAGCTACTTGGGGGGCTGAGACAGGAGAATCGCTTGAACCTGGGAGGTGGAGGTTGCAGTGAACCAAGATCGTGCCACCTCATTCCAGCATCAGTAACAGAATGAGATTCCATCTCAAAAAAAGAAAAGAGTGTAATATCGGTATGCACAGACAATATACTGAATGAAACAAATAGAATAATTTGAAGAGGTATCTTGATGAACAAGGAGTCATTAGAAAGGTTGTATTCATGTCTTTGAAGGAAATTGCAATGTGAGAAATTAATACTTTGACTACTATACTAAAAGTTTATTGCTAACATGTATTGAGTTATTAACGTGTGTTAGGCAGAGTACCATATAATTTACAAGTGTTATCTCATTTATTGTAGGTAAAATGTAATTTTGAACTCTGGGAGTATAAATGAATTAGATAGAATAAAATTCTATTTAAATGGCCATCAGTAAATCGGTATCTAGGAACAGGGTGATACAGTGCCCAAGTTTTCTATTCTTACTAAATGTTGTGTTTCATTTTCAATGTTTTCTTGGATATTGCTCTTTTTTGGAGATTTTGATTTTTTTTATTTTAGAAAACTAATAAATTGATTCTTCTTGGTACTGACTCGGGTTTTATAGAAGAAAAAGCAATTAAATTCTGTACATTTACCTTTACCTCATCTTTTCTCTTTTAAATTTACTTTAATTGACATATAATAAATGTACATATTATGGGTTACAGAGTGATATTTTGATATATTTATGCAATGCGTAAAGATCAAGTCAGAGTCATTATCATATCCATTACCTAAATCATGTATTATTTCTTTGCAGTGAGAATATTCAAAATCTTTTATTTTAGTTATTTGAAAACACACAATAAATTCCCATTAACTACAGTCACCCAACAGTGCTGTAGAGAACTAGAACTTCTTCCTTCTCTCCAGCTGTAATTTTGTATGTATTAACCACATTTTTCTTATACTTTTCTGTCTCCTACTCTTTCCAGGATATGGTAACCAAAACTCTACTATCTATTTCTACGAGATTAAAAATTTTAGCTTCCATACATAAGTGAGAACACGTAGTTATGTGGTGTTTATGTTTCTATGCCAGGCTTATTTCACCTAACATAATGCCCTCCACTTGCATTCTTGTTGCCACAAATAACAGGATTTTGTTCTTTATTATGACTAAATAATATTCCATTATATATGTATGTCACATTTCTTTATCCATTCATCTGTTGATGGACACTTTTGTTGATTCCATATCTTGGCTATTGTGCATAGTGCTGTAATAAACATGGGGGTGCAGGTAACTCTTTGATATACTGATTTTCTTTCCTTTGGATATATACTGAAAACCATATGGTTAAATTAATAAACACAATAAAAGCGTTTGGCAAAATTAAATATTCTTACATGACAAAAAACCTCTCATCAATTTAGTATAGAAAATATATGCCTTAACACAAAGGACATAAAGGACAAATCTACAGCTAAGATCATACTG
Organism: Homo sapiens; assembly: GCF_000001405.40. NCBI lineage: Eukaryota > Metazoa > Chordata > Mammalia > Primates > Hominidae > Homo > Homo sapiens. The sequence goes on along the minus strand of NC_000021.9, from coordinate 8,666,205 downwards.
AGTGTGGAAAAGGTGAAAGATTTTACTGTGAACAAGAAAAAGATTATACTGGAACAAGAAAAGGATGCCTATTTTCACCAATCATATTTCACATAGTGAAAGTCTTAGCCAGGACGATTAGGTGAGAGAAAGAAATAAAAGACATCTGAATTGGAAAGGAGACAGTTAAATTGTCCCTGTTTAAAGACAATGTGATCTTATACATGGAAAAAAATAAGACTCTACCAAAAGCTTCTTAGGGTGATACATGAAATTAATAAAGTTGCAGGATATAAATCAACATACAAAAATCAGTAGCATTTCTACATATTGATAGTAAACTAGCTGAAACAAGAAATTAAGAAAGCAATTCCTTTTACAATAGCTACAAAAATGTACTTAGAGATAAATTTAACCAAGGAAGTAAAAGATTTTGACAACAAAAATGACAAATATTAATGAAAGAAATTAAAGAAAACACAAAAAAGGAAAGACATCCACGTTTATAGATTGAAATAATATTCTTAAAATGACCCACTACCCTATGTGATTTACAAATTTAGTACAATCACTAGCTTGTATTTTTAAAAGCACCTTTGCTGCATATTCTTAAGATATTCAATGACAATGCCTGGATTTAAGTTTGAGGTATTATTATATCTATTTTATACTGGGCACAATATAATGTTATCAGAGGTAATGGTTTTGATTTGTCCTACGTCATACAGTAATATATACATTGTGATTTATAGACATGCTATCTTTTAATACTCAGGCATTTAGAAAGTTCATTTAGACAAAGTTATAAAAACTTACCTTCCTTTCTGCCTATATCACCTAAAAATCCTAATTTAAGAGGTAATAACATTTTTTATTTGATATACAATTTATCAACACAATAAAAATCTAACAATTATGTGCAGAGTGTGAAAATCTCATCAGATTAAGGAACACAAATACATCTTTTTCATATTTTGAATGTAAAACTGTTTTGGAAACTGTTATTTTTAGAAACAGTTAAAAACATTTTTTCATTAGTTTTTCATGTAAAATTGTGACAACCAGCATGAAATAACTGTCATCACAGAAGCATGGTATATTCGATTCCGAAATATATTCTTTGTAAGTTTTAATATATTTATGTATTATTTATACTTAATTGTAACCCATAATGTACAGATATTATTTTTCCTTCAACTCTTAAGAATATTCTTAAATAATAAAGTAAAATTAATGAATTATAATTTTTGTTGGTTGGGAAAAAGACACACACGTGACAGTGCATCACTTCACCTCATCATTTCATCTCATCATTTCATCTCATCATTTCATCTCATCATTTTGTCTCATCATTTCATCTTATCCCATCTCATCTCATCATTTCATATCATCTCATCATTTCATCTCATCATTTCATCAAATCTCATCTCATCCCATTTCCATTTAATTTTCATTATTTCATTTCATCATTTCATTTCACTATTTCATTTCATCTAATTTCACTTATTTCATTATGTCATTTCATATCATCTCATTTCATTTCATCTCATATTTTTGATATCATCATTTTTCATACCATTTTTCATCTCAATTCATTTCATCTCATCATTTCATCTCCTCATCTCATCATTTCCTCCTTTCTTTTCAACATTTCATCTCATTTCTTCTCATCTCATTTCAATTTTATTTCATTATTTCATCTCATTTCATTATTTCACCTAATTTCATTATTTCATCTCATCTCATCTCATCTCATCTCAATTCATCTCATCTCATTTCATCTCATCATTTCATCTCATCATTTTTCATCTCATCATTTAATCTCATTTCATCTCATCATTTCAGCTCATCATTTCATGTCATATCCCTTCATCATTTCATTTCAACATTTCGTCATTTCATCTCATCATTTCATCTCATCTTTCAATTTCATTTAATATCATCATTTCATCATTTCATTTCATCTCATTTCATTATTTCATTATTTCCTTTCATCTCATTTCATCTCATCATTTTTCATCTTATCATTTTTTATCTCATCATCTCATCTCATCATTTAATCATTTCATCTCATTTCTTCTCATCATTTTATCTCATCATTTTATCTCATTTCATCTCATCTCATTTCAATTTCATTTCATTTCACTTCATTTCATTCCATCTCATCATTTTATCTCATCTCATTTCATCTCATCATTTCTTCTCATCTCATTTCATCATTTCATCTCATTTCATCTCATCTCACCTCATCTCACCTCATCTCATCATTTCATCTCGTCCTTTCATTTCATCTCATCGTTTCATCTCCTCATTTCATCTCATCTCACCTCAGCATTTCATCATTTCATCTCATCATTTATTTCATCTCATTTTATCTCATCATTTCATCTCATATCTCAATTCAATTTCCTTTCATTATTTCATTTCATCTCATTCATTTCATCTCATTTCATTACATCTCATCATTTCCTCTCATCATTACATCTCATCTCATCTCATCATTTCATCATTTCATCTCATCATTGCATTTCATCATTTCATCTCGTCATTCATCTCGTCATTTCATCTCATCATTTCCGTTTCATTTCCATTTCATTATTTCATTTCATCATTTAATTTCATCATCTCATTTAATTTCAACTCATTTCATTATTTCGTTTCATTTTTTCATTTCATTATGTCATTTCATTTTTTCATTTCATTATGTCATTTCATTTCATCTCATTACATTTCGTCTAATTTCATTTCACCTCATTTCATCTCATCATTTCATTTCATCTCATCATTTCATCTCTTTTCATCTCATTTCATCTCATCTCATCAACTCTTTTCATCTTATCTCATCATTTCATCATTTCATCTCATCATTTCATCTCATCTCGTATCTTCTCATCTCATTTCAATTTCATTTCATTATTTCATTTCATTATTTCACCTCATCTCATCTCATCTCATCATTTCATCTCATCACATCTCATCATTTCATCATTTTATTTCATCATCTCATCTTATTTCATCTCATCTCATTTCAATTTTATTTCAATTTCATTTCATTATTTCATTTCATTTCATCTCATCAGTTCATCTCATCATTTCATCTCATCATCTCATCTCATCTCATCATTTCATCATTCATCTCATTTCATCTCATCATTCATCTCATCATTTCATATCACCATTTTATCTCACCTCATCATTTCATCTCATTTCATCTCATCTCTTTCCATCATTACATCTCATTTCATCTCATTTTATGTCATCATTTCATGTCATCATTTCATCACATCTCATCTCATCATTTCATCTCATCATTTCATCATTTCATCTCATTTCAACTCATTGCATCTCATCTCATCATTTCCGTTTCACTATTCCATTTCATCATTTCATTCATTATGTCATTTCATCTCATCATATTTCATCTCATTTCATTTCATCTCATAATTTCATCTCATTTTATCTCATCTCATCATTTCATCTCATCATTTCTTCTCATCTCATCATTTCCATTTCATTTTCATTTCATTATTTCATCATTTCATTATTTCATTTCATCTCATTTCATTATTTCATTTCATTATGTCATTTCATTTCATCTCATTACATTTCATCTCATTTCATCTCATCATTTCATACATCATTTCATTTCATCATTTCATCTCATGATTTCATCTCATCTCATTATCTCATTTCATCCCATTATTTCATCTCATTTCATCATTTCATTTCATCATTACATCTCATCATTTCAACTCATCTCATTTCAATTTCATTTCAATTTCATCATTACATTTCATAATTTCCTTTCATTATTTCATTTCATTTAATCTCATTTTTTGTCTCATCATTTTTCATCTCATTTCATCTCATCATTTCATCTCATCATTCATCTCATTTCATCTCATCATTTTATCTCATTTCATCTCATCTCATCTCATTTCAATCTCATTATTTCATATCATTTCATTATTTCATTTCATTTCATCTCATCATTTCATGGCTCGTTTTATCTCATCATTTCATCCATCATCTCATCATTTCATCTCATTTTAACTCATCTCATCTCCTTTCAATTTCTTTTCAATTTTGTCATTTCATCTCATAATTTCATCTCATCATTTCTACTCACCATTTCATCTCAAAATTTCATCTCATCATCTCATCTCATCTCATCATTTTGTCATTTCATCTCATCTCAAGTCATCTTATCATTTCATCTAAGTGAAATGATGTGATGGAATCATGAAATGAAATGGATAGGATGCCCTCAGTGATGTTAAATTTAAAAATCGTTTCTTTTCATGTATGCATTTTTATATTTATATGTATTTATATTTATATTTACTTATATTTATTTTTACTTATTTTTATTTATATTTTTACTTATTTCTTTATTTATAGACAAGGTCCTGTTCTGTGGCCTAGGCTGGAATGCAGTGGTGCATTCACAGTTCACTGCAACCTCGAGCAAACCTCCCACCTTAGCCTCCCAGGTAGCTGGGACCCCAGGTGCGCACCACCACACCTGGTTAATATTTTATTATTTGTAGAGATGGAGTCTTGCTATTCTGCCCAGGCTGGTCTCAAACTCCTGGGCTCAAGCAATCCTCCTGCATTGGCAACCCAAAATGCTGGGATGACAGATATAAGCCACAGTGCCCAACCTATTTATTTATTTATTTATTTAATAAAGACAAGGTCTCACTATGTTGCCCAGGCTGGTCAACTCCTGGACTCAAATGATTCTCCAAACTTGGCCTCTCAAAATGTTGGGATTACAGGTATGAGCCACCATGCCTGGCCTAAAAATAGTATTATATTTTTGTATCATATAATTTTCAATTAGGTAATATGAATATTCTGGACAGGAAATACGCCCTTAATTACATAGGAATAAACATTTGTTACACTGAGAAAAATCTAATAGAGCTAAAAATAAAAATTAATTTGGAAAGGTCATTAGATACTGATACATTCTTACGTTTACACATTCTTTCATATATTCATATATTCTTTTAACAGTATCAATGGTTTGGAGTTATGTGTACAAAACCATGACCTATATGTAATACAACTAATAACAGGCACTAACAATTCAAGGCATATTATATACAAAGCTTTAACTTCTTATCAAAATATTTTGTTTTTTTGTTTCTGTTTTGGCAGATGCTATGAACACAACATTCAACTCACAGACACCATGGAGCCCTTACTAAGCATAAAGTACTGTGAAAGGCCAGGGCTAGGACAGAACTGAGACAGGGCCAGGTATAGGACAGAACTGGGGCAGGGTCATGGCCAGAGAAAAACCAGGGGCAGGGTCACAGCCAGGGACATGAGAGGACTAAGGCCAGGGCCAGAAGCAGGGCAGAACCAGGGCCAGGACAGGGACATGGCAGGGCCAGGGCCATGGCAGGATCAGGGTCAGCAGAAGGTCAGGGCAGGACTAGGGTAGCACAGGGCCAAGGCAGGGCAGGGTCAGTGTAGAGCAAGGAACAGGCCAGGGTATGGCAGGGCAGGGACAGGGAGATCCAGGGCCAGAGTCAGGTCCAGGACATGGACAGGGCAGGGCCAGAAACATGGCAGGACCAGAAAGAGGACAGGGCAAGGGCAAGGCCAGAGAAGGACCGTGGAAAAAACATGGCCAGGGAGAGTCCAGGGCAAGGGCAAGGCCAGGGCAGAACCAGAGCCACAGCAGGCCAAAGGCAGGGCCAGGGCAGGGCAAGGCCAGGGTAGGGCGGGGCCAGTGTAGGGTGAGGGTAGGGCCAGGGCGAGTTCAGGGCCAGGGCAGGACTAAGATAGCACAGGGCCAAGGCAGGGACAGGGCAGGGCCAAAAGGAGGGGCCAGGGCCAAGCATGGCCAGTGTCAGACCTGGGGATTGTCAGGGCCAGGGTCAGGGTCAAGGCTGGGCCAGGGACAGGGCCAGAGCAAGGCCAGGGTCAGGGCAGAACCAGGACCAGGATAAGGCAAAGCCAAGGCCAGGGCAGGGCAAGGCCAGGGCAGGGCAAGACCAGGGAAGGGCAAGGCCAGGGTAGAAAAGGCCAGTGTATGGCCAGGCCAGGGTAGGAGAAGGCCATGGTAGGGCCAAGGCCAAGGCAGGGCAGGGCTAGGGTAGCACAGGGCATGGCCAAAAACAGAGCAGGGCCATAGCAGTGGCAGGACTAGCAACAGGGCTAGGGCAAGCACTGGACCAGAGCATGGTGGGGACAATACAGGACCAGGACAGAGGATGGCAAGGCAGGTCCAGGGCCATTTCATGGACTCGGTAGGCCTGGGGTCAGGCCAGGGCAGGGCAAAGGCAAGGCCAGGGAGAAGGCGGGCCAGGGCCAAGGCAGTGCCAGGGCAGGGCAGGACCAGTGCAGGGCCAATGCAGGGTGAGGGCAAGGCCAGGGCATGGAAGGGCAGGGCAGGACCAAGGAAGGGCCAGGAGAGGGCCATGGCAGGGTCATGGCCAGAACAAGGGTATGGCTGGGGTCAGGAATATGGTAGGATGAGGGCTGGGCCCAGGCTGGGGCACGCAGGGCAGAGCATGGCCTGTGCAAGGCATGGCCAGAGCCAGGCCATAGAGATGGGAGGGCAACACCAAGGCAGAGTCAGGGTAGATCCAGGGCTGAGCAGAGTCAGGGCAGGTCCAGAGTCGAGGCAGAGCTAGGGCCCAAGCAGGGCCATGGTAGCACCAGGGCAGAGGAGGGCAGGGCAATGCAGGACTGGGCCATGGCAGTGCCTGGTCAACTCCGGGGCAGGGCAAGAAGCAGGACAGGGACAGGGCCAATGCTCAGGCCAGGGACAGGGCATGACAGGACGTGCCAGAGCAGGGCTGGGCCAACGTTGGGGCAGGGCAAATCAGACCAGGACACCTCCAATTCCAGCTCTGGCCCTGCCTTGGCCCTGGCCCCTTCCTGGCCTGACCTTGTCCCTGGCCCTGCCCTATCCATGCCCTGTGTGTTTGACCAGTGTTTTATAACCAGAATCCTACAAGAAACTTAAATTAGTTCTTTTTGTGCATTTTTAGTAGAGATGGGGTTTCACAATGTTGCCCAGGCTGGTTCCAAACTCCTGAGCTCAAGCCATCTGCCTGCCTTGGCCTCCCAAAGTGCTGGGATTACAGGAGTAATCTGGCCAAGTATTTAACTTCTTTATGCCTGTTTCCTACATTTGGAAAATGGAGATGCTTTAAGTACCTAGCACATAGAATTATTGTGAGAATCAATGCCTCACATATTTACATGTTGATAAAATTATACTCATAGAACACTACTGGAAGCAAAGATAGTATTAGTTAAAATTTAGTGATTACTACAAATATTATTACTATTACAAACAACATAGTATAGACATTACTACTACTATAGTTATCTTAAAAATCTAAAATAAAAATTTTACATAATAACCTAAAGTAATCTCTCCTGCTCTGCCCTGGCTCAGCCCTAGTGCTGGCTCTGCCCCTAGTCCTACTACATCCCTGGCCCTGACCCTTCCCTGGTCCAGCCGCTGCCCTGGCCCTTCCCATCTTCAGGCCTTACCATGGCCCTACCCTGGTCCTGACCCTGCCCTGGTCTGGTCCTGACCCTGCCCTGGTCTGGTCCTGACCCTGGCCCTACCCCAGAGAAGGGGTATGGAAGAGCCAGGGAAGGGCCGGGGCAAATAAGGGACAGGACACATCCAAATCCAGGAAAGGGCCAGGGCCATGACAGAGCCAGGGCGAGTCCTTGGCAGGGCCAGGTTCCAGGCCAGGGCCAGGAAAGGGTCATGGCAGGGTCACTGTATGGCCAAGGTCCAGGCCAAAGCCAAGGCAGTGGCAGGGTCAGGTCTGCATAAGGGCAGGACCAGAGCCAGTGATACAGCAGGGCCAGGGCCAGGGCCAGGGCCAGGGCTGTGCCAGGACAGAACAAGAGCAGAGCAGGGCAGGACCACAGCCAGGCCATAGAGAGAGTAGGGCAAATGCCAAGGCAAGGCCAGGGTAGTGCCAGGGCTGAGGCAAGGTCAGGGAAGGTCCAGGCTGAGTCAAGGTTAGAACCAAGACAGGGGCAAAGGCTGGGGCAGATCTAGGGCACAAGCGGGGCAGATCTAGGGCACAAGCATGGCAGGCTAGGGCAGGGCAATGGCAAGACCAGGTCATGGCAGGGCCAGCCCAGGATAGAACAGGGCACAGGCAGGGCAGGGCCAGGGCCATGGCTGGGGCAGGACAAGGACCAGGACTGGGGTCCAGGCCAGGGCAAGGGTATGGCCAGGGCAGAGGCAGGGCCAGAGCCAGGGTGTGGGCAGGACCAAGGCAGGTCTATTGCAAGGCCAGGGTTCAGACCAGGGCCAGAGCAGGGCTGGGACAGGGCCAGGGCCAGAACCAGGAAAGGGCAATGTCAGGACAAGGGCCATGGCAGGACCAGCAACGGGGCTAGGGCCAGGACAGGGTCAGGACCAGGGCTGGGCCAGAGTATGGCCTTAAGTAGTGAAGGGCCAGGGCCAGGGTCCATGCCAGTGCCAGTGCCGGTCCACGGCAGAGGCAGGGCCATGGCCAGGTCAAGGACAAGGCTGGGGCAGGGCCAAGGTCTGGGTCAGGGTCAGCACAAGACCAGGACAGAGCCAGGGGAGGGACAGGGCCATGGTAAGACCAGGTTAAATCATGGACAAGACACCTGCAAATCCACTTCAGGGCCAGGTCAGGGCAGGGCCAGTTCAGGGCCAGGGTCAAGACAGGGCCAGGGTAAGGGCTGCCAGGGCCATGGCAGGACCAGGGTCAGGAGCAGGAGTCAATGCCAGGCCAAGGCCACAGATAGGACCAGGTCTGTGCTAGGGCCAGTGTGAGGGCCAAGGCGGGGTCAGAGCAGGCCCAAAGGGAGGGCAGGGCCAGGGCAGGGTGGAGCAGGCCCAGGGTAGCACAGGGTTAAGGTAGGGCACGACCAACCAGGGCAGGTCTATGGCTGGGGCCGGGGCAGGGCCAGGGCTGGGGCAGGGCCAGAGCCAGGGCAGGGCCAAGACAGTGGCAGCTCCAGGGCAGGGCCAGGGTTAGGACCACAGACATGTCCAAGGCCAGTGCCATGGCAAGGGCAAGGGCAGGGGCAGGGCCAGGGTCATCTAAGAACCAGGGACAAAGCCAGGCCCAGAGCTGGGCCAGGACAGGTACCTGGCAGGGCTAGGGTCTGGGACAAGGCCACGGCAGGGCCAGGGCTACAACCAGGTCTTTGCTATAGCCAGGTCAAACACAGTGCCCAGGTAAGGCTAGGGTGAAGGCCAAGGTAGGGCCAGGGCAGGGTCAAAGCCAGGCTAGGGCCAAGGCAGGGCCAGGAAAGCATAGGGCCAGGGCAGGGCAGGGCCAGGCCAGTGCCAAGACCTGGGCAGGGCCAGGGCCAGGGCCACGGCCACGGCCTGGGAAGGACCAGGTTCGGGGCAGGAGCAAAACAAGGGCAAGGACAGTGCAGGTTCTTGGCACAGCCAGGGTCCAGGACAGTGTCAGGGAAGGGCCAAGGCAGGGTCTGGGCCATGGTAAGACCAGCAACAGGGCTGGGGCTAGGTCAGTGACAGGACCAGAGTCAGGGCAAGGGCCAGAGCAGTGCAAGGCCAGGGTAGGGCCAGGCATTTCAGGGTCAGGGCCAGGGGAGAACCAGGGCAAGGTCTCAAGCAAGGAAGGGCCAGGGCCAGGACAGGTCCAGGGCAGGGCCATGACAGGACCAGGGGCTGCGTTAGGGCAAGGGCAGGGCCACAGCAAGGTAAGGGTCAGGGCCAAGACTAGGGTAGGGACAGGGCAAGAAATATGGCAGGACCAGGGACAATGCCAAGGCCAAGGCTGAGTCAGGGCTGAGTCAGGGCAGGGCAGGGCAGGGCATGGTATGGCCAGGGCAGGAAAGGACAAGAGCCAGTCCACAGAGAGAGCAGGGCTGATGCCAAGAAAGAGCCAGGCTAGTGCCAAGGCTGAGGCAGTGTCAGAGCATGTCCAGGGCAAGGCCGGGGCCAGGGCCAGAACCGAGCCAGGGCACAGCCAAGGCAGGGTAGGGAAGGGAAATAGCATGGCTGGGTCAGTACTGGGGCAGGGCAGAGCAGGGCAAGGCGATGGTAGGGGCAGGGCTGAGACAGGCCAAAGAAGAGCCATGTTACACCAGGGCCAGGACACCTCCAAGTCCACTTCAGGGCCAAGGCTATGGCAGGACAAAGACCAGGGCCAGGGTCAGAGCCAGGTCTGTGCTGGGCCTAGCGAAGACTAGGGTGAGGGCCAAGGTAAGGCCAGGGCAGGGTCAAAGGCAGAGTAGGGGCAGGGCAGGGTGATGACACATCCAGAGCACAGCAGGGCAGGGTGATGGCAAGACCAGGGGCAGACCACTGCCAGCTCAGGGCCAGGGAAAGGCCAGTGCAGAGCCAGGAATGGGTCTGGGTCTGGGTCAGGGCCAGGAACAAGGCAGAGCAGGGCCAGGGCCATGGCAGAGTCAGGGCAGGTCCTTGACAGGACCAGGTTCCAGGCCAGGGCCAGGGCAGCAGCAGGGGCAAGGCCTGGATAAGGGCAGGGCCAGGGATATGGCAGGACCAGGGCTAGGGCCAGGGCCAGCCCATAGTGAGGGCAGGGCAAAAGCCAAGGCAGGGTCAGGGCAGGTCCAGGGCAGGTCCAGGGAGCGGCCAGCACCAAGCGGGGCCAAGGCACAACCAGCGCAGGGTAAGGCAGGGCAATGGCACCACTGGGCCATGACAGGGCAAGGTCAGTGCCAGGAGAGGGCAGAACAGGCAGGCCCATGGTGGGGCCAGGGCAGGGATGGGCCAAAGCAGGGCCAGGACATTTCCAAGGCCAGGTCAGGGCCAGAACAGGGGCAGGACCATGACCATTGGCAGGGCCAGTGCCATGACAGGACCAGGGTCAGGACAAGGGGCAGGGCCAGAGCCAGGGCCAGAGCCAAGGTCAGGCCAGTGTAGGTTCAGGGCAGGGCCAGTGCCAGGGCAAGACCAGGGCAGGGACAGGGTAGCACAGGGCCAAGACACGGTCAGGATGGGACCAGAGCAGGACAGGGCCGAGACAGTCCAGGTAACAGTAGGGCAGGTACAGGGCAAGGCAGGGCAGTACAGGGCCAGATCCACGGCAGGCGCAGGGCAAAGCCAGGCCCATTGCCAATGCACCAGCCCTCCCTACAAGGCTCCTACCACCTGGCCACTGCTGCAGCCCGTCCATCGCTGTAAGCCTGACTCCCAACCCTGCCTGCAGCCGCCTGCCCTCCTAGCGCAGCCGCTCTCCTACCGCTCTGGCGCACTGCAGCCTCCGTCACTGCCATCCACCTGCAGCGAGGCGAGCCGTGGTGTTGCAGGCTCTAGGTGTCTCCTCCTCTTCCTGGCACGGAGCAGCTGGGTGGGCAAAGCCAGAAAAGCCTAGAGGAAGTTGTGAGGAGTGGAAGTGTTAGAGCCTCGACTTGTCATGCCAGCCACTGGGTGGCAGGGGCCAGTTTCAGCAAAGGCACTCACACCCACCCTCCAAAGTCCAGCCTCTCCTTTTGGCCCAAGCTGTCTGGGAACTGGAGTCTGGGGTGGGTGCTGGAGACACCACAGCTTCCAGCTCCCCACTCCACAGGAACCATTGGGCCCACCGGGGCTGCACTCCTCGGGGAACAGGAGAAGCAGAAAAATTCAGACCCAACCAGCCCTCCACACCCAGGTGCCAATTCCTGTTCCGGACGCCTCCACACACAGGGCCCTGTCCCCCGTGGTGTCCCCAGGGGTGCCTGGCAGCCTCTGAGGCACAGACCCAGAGTGCACAGGCCCAGGAACCACGGTGGGTGTGGGGGCTCTGCCATGCTCAGGATTCCCATGCAAACGCTGCGTGCCCTGCCACACTCCAGTATGACCAAGAGTGGGTCGCCCTCTGGAGTGTGGAGTCAGGGAGAGGAGAACCACTCCTTCCTTGGATGCCAACTCTGTTGACCGCCGCCAGCAGTGCAGCCCCTGATAGCACCGAACTCGCCCGCCCTCCACGGCTAGCCCTGCCCTCAATAGCGCCCCCCACCTCCGTCCCCCAATGCCACCAGTAGCGTATACCCGATAGTGCCCTAACCTGTCCTCCTCCATGGGCATTGCAGCCCCAGAAAGCACCCATAACCCACCCTCCCTGCCGTGGGTAGTGCAGCCCTGTGGAGTGCTACCAACCAGTACCCCTAATGCAGGCAATGACACCCTGGATAGCGCCCCCAACCCACCCCACACTGCGAAAGGTGCAGCCCTGGATAGCCCCTGTCCTACCACTCTGGTTGTGCTGCAGTCTCTGTTACCGCCACCACCAACCACAGTGAGGCAAGCCAGTGGGCCGCAGGCTCTAGCACCCAGCAGCCAGGCAAGGAGCAGCTCTCGCTGATGGCCGGCTCCTACCACTCTAACCACGCTGCTGTCTGTCTCCGTGGCCATCTTCTTTCACTACAAAGGAATAAAACTAGGTATCAATAAGAAAAGTAATTTTGGAAAGAATACAATCACATGGAAGTTAAATACTACCCTCCTGAATAAATGACTAGCGGGTCAATGAAGATACTAAGACAGAAATTCAAAAATTTCATGAAACAAAGGGTAATGAAAACACAGTATACCAAAACTTGTTACGCAGAAAGCAGTACAAAGGCAGAGATTTACAGCTATAAGTGCCTACCATCCAAACAAAAGAAAAACTTCAAATAAACAATACATCTTAAAGAACTAGTAAAGTAAGAACAAACTAAACAGAAAATAAGAAAATAACTAAGATCGTAGCAGAAACAAAATTGAAATAAAAAACACACAAGATTAAACGAAAAGTTGGTTTTCTGGAAAGCTATACAAAATTGACAAACTTTTAACCAGCCTAAGAAAAGAGACAAGATTCAAATAAATAAAATCAACAGATTAAAAAAAGGAGACATTACAACTAATACTTCAGAAATTCAAAGGATCATAACTGGCTATTATATGCCAATAAACTGGAAAGCCTAGTAGAAATTGGCAAATTCCTAGATGTATACAACCTACTTAGGTTAAACAATGAAAACATCCAAGACCAGAACAGATTGGTAACAAGTAATGAGATTGAAGCCATCAGAAAAAGTCTCCCAGTAAAGAAAAGCCCAGGAACTGATGTCTTCACTGCTGATGGCTTCACAGCAAACAATTTAAAGACCTAGTACGAATCCTGCTCAAACTATTTTGAAAAACAGGAGGGAATACTTCCAAACTTATTCTATGAGACCATTATTACTGTGATACAAAAATCAGATAAAAGCATCAAAGAAGGAAACTACAGGCCAGTATCTCTAATATTGATGCAAAAATCCTCAACAAAATACCAGTGAATCAAATTCAGTAATACATTAAAAAGATAATTCATCATGATCAAGTGGGAATGTATCCCTGGGATGCAAGAGTCACTCAACATACAATGTGATACATCATATCAACCAAATAAATGACAAAAACAGTATGATCACGTCAACTGAAACCGAAAAAGCATTTGATGAAATTCAACATCCCTTCATGCTATAAATCCTCAAAGAAACAGGCACAGAAGAAACATACCGCAACATAATAAAAACTACAGGAAAGACACCCACAGCTAGAATCATGGAATGGGGAAAAATGGAAAGCTTTTCCTCTAAGATCTGGAACATGATAAGGATGCCCCCCGTCACCACTGTTGTTTAACATAGTACCTGAAATCCTAGCTAAAGCAATCAGTGCAGCCCCTGATATGGCCCCCAACCCATCCTGCCCCCTACCACCAGCAGTGTCGCCCCCCGCAATAGCACACCCAACATACCCTAACCGCCCCGCCTCCCCGCACCATGGGCATTACAGCACCCCATAGTGCCCTCAACCCGAAACTGCCACCCCCCACCCCACAGCCGCACAGTGCAGCCCCGGATAGCACACTTAGCCCACCTCACTGTTGCCAGCAATACCGTCTGGGATAGTGCCCCCAACCGGCTCCCCGCCAAAGGCAGTGCAGCCCCGGTTTGAGCCCCCAAACCACCCCCCAGGTGCAGGCAGCACAGCCTCAGATAGCACACCCAACCAGCCACCCAAGATGGGCAGTGACACCTGAGATAGGGCTCCCAACCCGTCCCAGGCCACCCGCAGTGCAGCCTGGATAGTGCACTTACCCCGATGCCTTTCTACGCTCTGGCTGGCTGCATTGTCCATCGCTGCCACCAACCACAAACAGGGCTGCAAACAGGAAGGATTTTATTCACCGTCGATGCGGCCCCGAGTTGTCCCAAAGCGAGGCAGTGCCCCAAGGTCTGTGCAGAGCAGAACGCGGCTCCGCCCTCGCAATGCTCTCCGGGTCTGTGCCTAGGAGAACGCAGCTCCGCCCTTGCAAAGGCACACAGCGCCGGTGCCGGCGTGGCGGAGAGGCGGATAGCGGCGCCGCGGCGGAGAGGCGGACAGCGGCGGCGCGGCGGAGAGGCGGACAGCGGCGGCGCGGCGGAGAGGCGGACAGCGGCGGCGCGGCGGAAAGGCGGACAGCGGCGGAGAGGGGCACAGCGGCTGAGAGGCGGACAGCGGCGAGGAGGGGCACAGCGGCGGCGCAGGCGCGGAGAGGCGCAGGCCCAGGCTCCAGTCCCCAGCTGTGAAAGGGTAAGAGCTGAGGGTGGCTGAGACTCGGGGTTGTTCAGGGCGGGGTGGGCTCTGGACCCAGCAGGCCCGGCACCCAGGTCAGGGCTCCAGGGGAGGCCAGGTGGGCGAAGGCCAAGAAGGGGCCGGGGCTGGTCAGGAAGGGCTCCTGGTGACCAGAGCACTTTGCGTGAGCGAGCGTGGGAGGAAGGTGGCCTGGATGAGCCAGGGAGGTGCCGGGAGGGGCCTTGGCAGAGGCGACCACCTCCATCAGCCCCCAGGCCACTGAACCCTGGGTAGCGAGAACCTACAGGGGAGGCTGCAGACAGAGGAGTGGAGGCTCCCCGGCTTTGGGGGCTCTGAGTAGAAGCATCTAGGGGGTCCCTCAAGACGACCCCAAACGCTTCCCCATGGTGAGAAAAGAAGGCGCAGAGAGCGGCACGGCGCCGGCTCCGGCGCAGAGGGGCGCACAGCAAGATTTGCTGTGATTTCTTTTATTGCCCCAAGTGTACTTCATGTTCAGGCAAGAGGAGTCTGAATTATAGGATGTTTAGAAGCTTCCCTGGCCTCTATCTCTAGATGCCAGTAGTACCTGTACCTCTAGTTGTGACAGCCAAAAGTGCATCTAGATGTTGCTAAATGTCCCCTGTGGGTCAAGATGCTTTGTTCAGACATTACTAAAGGTTCTCTGTACATTACAATTATCCCTGGTGGAGAATCACTGACTTGGAGCAAGAATTTCTTTTTTAAAATTGAAATAGAGAAAGCACTTACCTAGAGTTCAAAACAGAATATTGACATATAATTAGGTAGTGATTTGCAGGATAAGTTAGAGAAGGTAGAAATGGGAGGCAATGAGAATATGCAAAAATGATCATGTCAGTCTAGAAATGAATAGATGGGCTTATAAGCTAGAGCTCTGTGGCTCTGATAGTAATAGAGGCACTGATAGTAATAGAATAGCAGCAGTTGTAGTGGTACTAGAAGCAGCATTAATTGTGCAGTCATAAAAGTACTTCTCACAATTACCTTTAGAAATGTTTGCTACTATGGTTATCCCCATACTGCCGATGAGGAAGCTGAGGTTTAGTGGTCACCCATGGCAATGGTTGGGATTCCAACTCGTATCTGTCTTGCTTCCAATACTTTCTATTGCTTCATCTCTGAAACAGGTTTTGCATTCAAGTGGTTGACAGGAAAAAGCAGTCTGAATGGTCACACTCTCTGCTGTTTGTTAAATTATACTATCCTTCCCAAAATCTCACTCTCTTTATTTAGAGATGTGAACAAAAATTGTTCCCCCTAAGAACGGCACAGGCTGGTACAACTTAGAGCCCCATCTGCTCTGGTTTGTTGGATACTGCCACATTACATTAATTAGTAGAGAGAGAGCATTCACATGCATAATGTGCCCATTTTTCAAAAGCATATTTTACATGGTTCTGTCTTTTCCTTAAAAATTCATTACAAAGATAAGAGTGTGTTTATCACATAAATACAGCCAAATTATGGCATAAGGGAGTTTTAAGAAAATAGACAAAAGAAGTTATAAAATTTTAGACATTATAAAATATTTGTTACTGATATTATGCTATGTTTTTCATGCTATCTTGAAGACTTTTTATAGATATTATTCTATGCTCACAACTAGATTTTGCAATTCCAGTATGCCCATGAATGGAGGAAACCTCCAGTTAGCTTGGTAATTAATTAGCTTCTTTTGTGAAATGTCCAAGCTGCTAATTTCTGTCTTTTTATTTTAAAATAGAACACCTTTTGTTTATTTCTCTGAGACACAGATTTCTCCTACAACTCCAAGTAGGAGAAATAAAAGGAGAAAAACTCCAGAAAGAACTGTTCGGAGTTGGTTAGAAGATTGTCCAGATGATCTTTATTTTAATGTTGGGAAAATATAGATGCCTATCTTGGAATCAGCAAATAAATTATAGTCATATTAAATTTCATTCTAAATTTCTGACTTTACGGTTTATTTTATATATATAATATATTATATATAAATAAAATTTTATATATGTATATCTGTAAACATATGAAACCATGCATAGTACATAAAAACTAGGTTCAAGTAGGAACCCAGTTTACTTTGTTTCTCTGAGCTGTAGTTTCTCAATATGTGAGGTGGGAATAAAATAGGAACTTCACAGGCTGTTAAATGTGTCAATGAGAGTATGTATATAAAATGCTTACACAATGACTAGCACAAACTATATTACATATGGTGACTCTCCTATGGTAACAGCTATTTGCCAATCTCTGCAGTTGCCTTAATGGAATTGTAACAAAACTGGACATGAAAGGCTATTGTAATTTCAGCCCAATGCCTAACATTTGTGGAAAAACATTTCAGCTTTTCTATGCATAGCATATTTTTCTCCACCAAACATCTGTGAAGGTGATTTTCATTTAACTATTTAATGGGTCAATAACCTCCCTTCTATTTTCATATTCCATCTACATCATCAAAAAAGAAATTTTAATTACCCTTTGGATAAATAATAGGAATAAAATGTCATGAATCAAAACACAGGGTTTATGTGTATTCTCTATGAAAAACAGAACTAAAATGTTGTTAATAAATTTTACACCCATTAAGGAAATGTGTGAGTCTACCTGGTAGAATTAAAGTATAGTTGAAACTATTGCTGTGGGATGAAATTATTCTCACTTTAATATTTCCGATATGTTTTCTTTGTACTAGAAAAAAACAGATATTTTAAAAATGCTGCATTTATCTTTATCTCTCTGTGCACATAAGGATTTCATACCTTATTTTCACTTGAGTTTCTTTGAACAATGAACACTTTGGAGGAGTGTATGCTATATTAGGAATTTATTAGATTTCATCAAATGGCAGGTGGTTATGAATTTTGTTTCCAAAAAGGAGACCTGAGGGATATTCCATATTAACGGTTTTATTCCCTTTTGGTGGAAACATGCAAATCATTTGTTTTTGCTAAAAAAACTATGAAATATTTCTTTCATTATTTCCCTTGGGAATGGCAGCTCGCTATTATTCATAATTGTAAATGCAGTTGACATTTTGAAGTTTATGTTCATGGGAATAAGATATTTTTTGGACATTTTAGTGATGCCAAGCCCAGGAAAATCTAGTTATTTTTTGCAATACACACGTATATACAGTATGTTAATTGGAGTAACAGAGATGGCCATTTCAAATTGGGCTCTGTTATTCATCTTTTTTTTTAGAGGCAAAGAGTGTTGGTAAGCGAATTTAACCAGAAGAGCAGTAGATTCTTTTGGAATAATGACATAGTGGAAAATAAAAACACATATACACCAAGAAACAATTTGTGAACTAAAACATGATTAAATTTAATCTATTGCCATAAAGTAGAAAATGTTCGAAACAAGGAAGACTGTGTACTTTCAGCTAAACTGAAAATAAAATGACAACAAAAAAGCAGGACTCTCCACAATTCAAGACTTGCTGCTTCTATGATGCCACACTCTTGATTATTTACCCCTGCTATATGAATGAGTGAGTGTTAACACTGATGTATTACACCTAAAAGATTGGAAGAGCATCTTTGATTCCATTCCAGTCCACCACGTCGTGCTAGAACCAGCACATCTGCCCTCCATAGTAAATCTCCATAAAATTTTACTGGGGAGAAAAGAATCCTCTACATATGAGGTAGAGATGTGAATCAGACAAGTCCTTAAATGCATGATTCATCTAACTGCCTCTGAATAATTGGTTAACTTCAGCCACCTGTATATATAAGCATGTAGGTGTTCAATGCCACCACACACTCTCCACAAACAACAACTGCCCAGGGTTGCCAAAAGATAATTGCATGGTGGCAAAATGTGCTGCTTGAACAGTGCCAACGTAAAGGATAAAAAACCAGGAACCATATTGTAAGGAAGTGAAGACTGTATTATACTAGGAATTCCACTTTAGAGTCCAATCTGACCATCTGAATCTGAATCGGACTATAGTGGATGGACTGATGCTACCCTGCAGCCTTACTTCCTTAACTTTGTTTCCCCAGGCCCTAATATAAACCCCAGGAAAACAGGCATACAGCTGTATGCATTTGGCAGATTACTATCCATTTCATTGTTCAGTTGTTCTGGAAAGGCACCGAATGCAACTGTAGCCTGGAAACATTTGGAAAAATGGTACTGTTCCTGATATCTTTGTTTCTTCCTAGGTGACAGTTGAAGGTGACTTTCCTTTGTACAGTTCTGCCTGCTGTTAGCAATTTTCCAAAATTAAATACCATATTTTGTGTTTGATAGGCACAGCTGTGTCTGTTACCAAGGGCAAGCCCACTTGCACAACACTCTGTGTTCATTTATATACTGAGAACTTTATTTAGAACCCAGTTTTACAGAAAAAAATCAAGTTGGGTGAACCAATTTTGAGGGCAATGAATTCTTGAATTCTACTTTTGGGTTATGAAAAGGGCAAATTTATTTGCTTCTGATGGAAGTAATATAGGCCTAGTGGATATCTTAGCAGTGCAGAAAATAGGATGTACCATCTACCTATATTAACTGTGTGTGCATTAATTTCTGAATCTGGTTTTAAAAACTCCATTGTGTTCTAAACCTGATAGTTTGGAAAGTTGTAAGACCGAGTCTAGAGACTCATGTTAAAATTCTAAATTTTGGTGCAAGAGGAATAGCTCTCGTTTTTGCCCAAGCGACTTTATTTTTCAATGTCTTCATTATTTTATCTGCCGATTGAACCCATCAGAGTAGAGGAATGCCCAGAATTATTTGAAGCTCTGAAAGTTCTACAATTTGGGCTAGAGAAATGGAATATACTAATTCTACCAATTAAGACACCAACTCTTCAGGCAAAATTAATTTAATACTTGGGGTATGATGGGTTGACCCTGAATATTTACAAGATACTAACATTGGAAAATGTTAGAGTGTGTCACATGGGACAAGAGTCTGTTAAGGTGTTCTACAAGAATGGGAGGTTGTGTGGTTAAACATTTGGCATGCTTGGCACATTTTTTCCCTCTTCCTGGAGAGTTGTAGTTTGCATTCACATTTAAAGGATCTGAGAAATCCTGCAGAAAAGAAAATTATGTAGCTTTGTTTAACCCAATGTTTCCCAAACTTAGTGGACTTTATGCATTCGACATCTTTCCTTTGCTCTTCCAAATTACTCTTCAGCCTTCCCTACCCTGCTCTGTGTTCATGAAACTGACGTGTGTGAGTTCTAACTTAGAGTTTTCTTTCTACTGGCTCCTGGTTGTTTGGCTGTCAAGAGAAACTTCTGGAGGAATGACGGCAGGAAAAGGTATCTGAGGAAGAGAGAAGTAAGGTACTTGTTTCCCTGGCTTCCTCTCTCCAAGCTGACTGATCTGCCCACCAGAGGTCACATTTCTTGTCAAGTGTTCTCTCCACACAGTTTTCCCTCCAGATTCCTGCAAACTCTTATTTCCCTCCATCCTTTCAGGCATAGTCTGTAGGTTACTGCCTTCCTTTTCAATTTTCCTATAACCTGCCCACATCTATTCAAATAGTGCTTGTTTTAGACATTCCTCAAATTACCAAATTTGAGTGTCATCTTTTTTCTGCAGGAAGTCTGAGTGATATATACACATGGTATCTTTTTTACCTTGCTGATGCATGCCATTTTTATGGAAAAACTGCTATATTTAAAGTGAGGAAAATTATTTTGGTATAAAAGTGTCTGAAACACTGTTGTTGCTTGATTTGCTAACTATAATTGTCCGAACGCTTCTCTATGTGTAGATATATCCTAAAACCAAGTCAGTAAAAACAGGTCCTTCTGAGTCCTATCTGAGTTTATTTTACCATTGTCAGCTTTCTTTTTGCTCTCAGTGGGCCCATGAGTGATAACTATCTCCACAGTTAGACATCAGTAAGCCATGCCATTTACCTGATTTGTCAACAGACATTTGTGAAGCATGTTTGTGTGTGTGTGGCATTGAACTAGATGCTGAGAATATAAAGGTAGAGAAAGATTAACATGATTCCCAGGGTATCCAAAGCAGCCTGTATGCCCACCAATACAACAATAATAAAATGTGAATACTGATAATAAATGTAATAATACCTAACACTTAACATAGCTCTGAGTACAATAAGACATTTATATAGTTTGAGTGCTTTATCTTAACTCATTCAATCTTCCCAACAACCTTATGAAAAGCTACTGTTATTATCTCTATTTGACAAATAAGAAAAAGATGACAAAGTCAGGCTAGATGAGTCTGTTCATGTTCACATGTAATTAAGTGGTGAGAGTGGATTTTTAGTCTATGTAGTCTGGTCACAGAGAAAGTATAATTAAAAAATGACAAGGAGATGTGCAATAGGAGGGCTTGGCTCAAATGAGATCCAAAGGGCAAAAAAGTAAAGAGAGAAGAGTGTTTCAGAAGGGAAGAACTTGTGCAAAGATACTCTTAAATTGTCTTGACGCTGTTTCATCAGAGCAGACGACATACAAAAAGGCCAGTCAAAATGGAGTTGTTAAGAGGTGGTCTGTACAAATACATCAGTTAAGTACACGCACTTATATTTTCTTTACTGTTCTATTCACAATAACAAAGACATGAACTCAACCTAGGTATCCATTAGTGGTGGATTGGATAAAGAAAATGTGGTACATACAGGTACCAAGGAACACTATGCAGTCATAATAAAGAATCAAATTATGTCCTTTTAAGCAACATGGATTAAGCTGAAGTCCATAATCCTAAGTGAATTAATGCAGAAACAGAAAATCAAATACCACATGTTCTCACTAATGAATAAGAGCTGGACATTGAGTTTACATGGACATGTAGATGGAAGCAATAGACACCGGGGACTAAAAGAGGGGAGAGAGAGGTGGGAAAGGGTTGAAAAACTACCTATTGGATCCTATGCTAACTACCTGGATGACAGGATCCATACCCCCAAACTCAGGATTATGCAATATACCTATGTAACAAACCTGCACATGTATCCCCCCATATCTAAAATAAACACTAAAATTTAATTAAAAAATAAATTTAAAAAACTGAAAAAATATATCAGTCATTGACTTTATTGCCTTGATAAGTAGCAATGGCAACTTCACATGTTGACTTAAAACTTTGATTGTCAACCTTTGGTGTTTGCAGGATACTTAAAAAAACTGGATTATTTAATGACACTCTTGAAGGAATTAAAGTATAAAAAAGTTATAGAATATTGAAAACATATTTCCATACTTATTGAATTAGTTGTTTTTAATTTGAGGAGAACCAAAAAACTCTTTACTGTCCTGACCATATTATCTGATACAGTCATAATGCAAATTTCTTACAATTTCTGGCATATAGGGCATCTTTCTTTAACACTAGCATGCCTTTACATGAAGCCTTATCACTTCTTTGCAGCAACTTGTTCCTCAACTCACTGAGTGTGCATTGTTCTGCCAGAGACATCACTGTAAGAGTATGTCATGTCGAATGTAGCAAAAATTGTTTTTATATGGTATCAGTTATAAAGTGCTTTTGAGGACTGTTTCTTGCTTCCGTGAGAATGCTGACAAGCAGAGTAAACTAAGTGCTCCAATTTCTAAGTTCAGAAAATTACCCATTTTAGTCAGCTTCTGCAGGGCCTTCTAGGACAGGGCACAGCAAAAACACCACTTCTGAAAACCCCAATCCCCTGGACCACATCTAGAGGACTACAGAAGGTAAGAGGGAGAATTCTCAAAGTTGTAGTTATCCATAATCCTACCCCTTCTTATCAAGGGGAGGAGAAAGGCATTGAACTCTCTCTCATCCCTGCCTTTTACAGATGGTCCTGGAATATGGAGAAAAGGAAAGGAGAAAAAGGGCTAAGGTGCCAGAGGAAATTCCCAAAGCAGCCTGCATTCCCTCATAAATCAAATGTATAACATGGAATTCACCTGACACTTATATCATCTTTTCAGTGCTCCAATGGTCATACCCACAAAGAAAAGGGATCCAGGCAACAAGAGGATGGAGGGTAGATTGGTCTTGGACCAGGAGTTTAGGACAAGGTGATGTTGAGGACTTTGAGACAAGAGTGTACATTTTAGTTATTGAATTACATCACAGAAATAATCACACCAGCCTATATTTTTCACCAAAAATGAATGAAAAGAAAATTATGTCTGTTCTAGGCAGATGGAGGTCAAAGGCTGCTCTAGATCCAGAATCTTAACCTATATCAAGATTCATGTTCGTGCATAGCTTTATTGAAACTCTTGGCTCAAATTGACTTACTTCCCTAATGTCAAAATTTGAGAGCCCATTTGTAAAATGGCTGAGTGTAATGCACTGTGGATGATCAATCAAGAGTCACTAGTCTGTGTTCTTATTGGAGAAAATAATATTGCTTTTCTGTGTACATCTGTGTAAGAAATTTCACTTAGACATGAATGCTAAGAAAAACTACAATCCTTTCCAAGCAATAAACATATCCTTTTATGTTTCATAAAATTATCTCTTCATCTGGAATAGTAGAAGTTTTTATTCAGGCTTGCTTTATGCTTTCTCAAAGCTACGGTTATGTTTAACATATTTGCTTTATTTCTATTCCAGTGCCTTTGTCATATTTTATGTTAACATTTTGTGTTGAACTATCTAGCCTATCTACCTTATCTATCTATCTATCTATCTATCTGTCTATTTTATTATACCAAAATCTTCCTACAAGTGTTGATGTCTAAATAAATTTGATAATGTTTATTAGATAACCTTCATATGTAATTGATTTGCTCATCTATTATCCATAGAACTTGGAAACATATTTGTAGATAAAAGTTACAGATGTATAGATACATTGATAGATAATGCAGTTATATAAAATTATATATATTAAATTTTAACCATATAAATATGTAACCAGACATATACAGATTTTAGTAAATTTCTTTTGACTTTTTATTTTTAAATGTGAACAAAAATAGTTGGTGATGATGGTGTCTGAATCTGTGGTCCCAATTGTTATCTCACAACTCCAAGTTCCCAACACAGTTGGAAACATCATTTATCTACCGAATTCTTCTGTTGGTGTTTTTCTCCCAGGGAAGCAGAGAAAATAAAGAGTTTTCTGCTTTTAATGTTTCTGCTTTTTATGTTTGTCACAGTGCTCTGCTTTTAGCAAACACCCTGATACACTAAAATTTGCTTTTTATTTAACCTTAAAAATTTCTTTGGTAAGCTTGTCCTAAAAACTTGACCCAGAATTATACAAATGCCATTCAAACATCTATTTGTGCATCTCTTTTTTTTTCACTTCAACTGAAAATATACTTTCTCTAAAATGTACATTTGCAATAGGAATATATTACTGATGGTGGAAATAAATTTCCATGTAAATTCATATTGTCCTTCTACATAGTGAAATGACAGCGTTTTGGAAGTCACGTGCACACAGCTCCCCAGGGAATCTCACATCTATTATCCATTTCATGCATTGTGAGGCTTTTATGGCAATGTCCATACCCTTCATTTTAGATAGATCTATCAGTCTCTCGGTACTATCCATGCACTTTGGATCACTAAGACTCCTCCTGAGTAGACGACATACTAATATGTGACTAGTAATTGAATTTTTGACATATGCAAAAATGTTGTAAAATAGATAAGAGAGAAAGTGCCATAAATAGATATCTAAAAGAAGGGAACAGATGGCCTCTTTGTGAAGATGTTTGGATAAAGCCAAAACATGACGAACAGATGGTTTATACGTATGGGGTAGGTTGACAATGGAACCTGAAGCTGGTGGGGCATAATGCACAGAGCTCCAACTTTTCCTAAAAAACCTGAAGTTTGGTCTATAAGAGGAAAGTATTACAGACTACATAAAAACATAGACAATTGCTGAGGAGAGCTTTACTTCCAACTATGTGTTCAATTTTGGAATAAGTGTGGTGCAGTGCTAAAAAAATGTATATTCTGTTGATTTGGGGTGGAGAGTTCTGCAGATGTCTATTAGTTCCACTTGGTGCAGAGCTGAGTTCAATTCCTGGGTATCCTTGTTAACTTCCTGTCTCGTTGATCTGTCTAATGTTGACAGTGGGGTGTTAAAGTCTCCCATTATTATTGTGTGGGAGTCTAAGTCTCTTTGTAGGTCACTCAGGACTTGCTTTATGAATCTGGGTGCTCCTGTATTCGGTGCATATATATTTAGGATAATTAGCTCTTCTTGCTGAATTGATCCCTTTACCATTATGTAATGGCCTTCTTTGTCTCTTTTGATCTTTGTTGGTTTAAAGTCTGTTTTATCAGAGACTAGGATTGCAAACCCTGCCTTTTTTTTGTTTTCCATTTGCTTGGTAGATCTTCCTCCATCCTTTTATTTTGAGCCTATGTGTGTCTCTGCATGTGAGATGAGTTTCCTGAATACAGCACACTGATGGGTCTTCACTCTTTATCCAATTTGCCAGTCTGTGTCTTTTAGTTGGAGCATTTAGTCCATTTACATTTAAAGTTAATATTGTTATGTGTGAAGTTGATCCTGTCATGATGATGTTAGCTGGTTATTTTGCTCGTTAGTTGATGCAGTTTCTTCCTAGCCTCGATGGTCTTTACAATTTGGCATGATTTTGCAGTGGCTGGTACCGGTTGTTCCTTTCCATGTTTAGTGCTTCCTTCAGGAGCACTTTTAGGGCAGGCCTGGTGGTGACAAAATCTCTCAGCATTTGCTTGTCTGTAAAGGATTTTATTTCTCCTTCACTTATGAAGCTTAGTTAGGCTGGATATGAAATTCTGGGTTGAAAATTTTTTTCTTTAAGAATGTTAAATATTGGCCCCCACTCTCTTCTGGCTTGTAGAGTTTCTGCCGAGAGATCCGCTGTTAGTCTGATGGGCTTCCCTTTGTGGGTAACCTGACCTTTCTCTCTGGCTGCCCTTAACATTTTTTCCTTCATTTCAACTTTGGTGAATCTGACAATTACGTGTCTTGGAGTTGCTCTTCTCGAGGAGTATCTTTGTGGCGTTCTCTGTATTTCCTGAATCTGAATGTTGGCCTGCCTTGCTAGATTGGGGAAGTTCTCCTGGATACTACCCTGCAGAGTGTTTTCCAACTTTGTTCCATTCTCCCCGTCACTTTCAGGTACACCAATCAGATGTAGATTTGGTCTTTTCACATAGTCCCATATTTCTTGGAGGCTTTGTTTGTTTCTTTTTATTCTTTTTTCTCTAAACTTCCCTTCTCGCTTCATTTCATTCATTTCATCTTCCATCACTGATACCCTTTCTTCCAGTTGATCGCATTGGCTCCTGAGGCTTCTGCATTCTTCATGTAGTTCTTGAGCCTTGGCTTTCAGCTCCATCAGCTCCTTTAAAGCACTTCTCTGTATTGGTTATTCTAGTTATACATTCGTCTAAATTTTTTTCAAAGTTTTCAACTTCTTTGCCTTTGGTTTGGATTTCCTCCTGTAGGTTGGAGTAGTCTGATCATCTGAAGCCTTCTTCTCTCGACTCGTTGAAGTCATTCTCCGTTCCGTTGCTGGTCATTCTCTTTGTTCCGTTGCTGGTGAGGAGCTGCGTTCCTTTGGAGGAGGAGAGGCGCTCTGCTTTTTAGAGTTTCCAGTTTTTCTGCTGTTTTTTCCCCATCTTTGTGGTTTTATCTACTTTTGGTCTTTGATGATGGTGATGTACAGATGGGTTTTTAGTGTGGATGTCCTTTCTGTTTGTTAGTTTTCCTTCTAACAGACAGGACCCTCAGCTGCAGGTCTGTTGGAGTTTGTTAGAGGTCCACTCCAGACGCTGTTTGCCTGGGTACCAGCAGCGGTGGCTGCAGAACAGCGGATTTTCATGAACCGCGAATGCTGCTGTCTGATCGTTCCTCTGGAAGTTTTGTCTCAGAGGATTACCCACTGTGTGAGGTGTCAGTCTGCCCCTACTGGGGGGTGCCTCCCAGTTAGGCTGCTCGGGGGTCAGGGGTCAGGGACCCACTTGAGGAGGCAGTCTGCCAGTTCTCAGATCTCCAGCTGCATGCTGGGAACACCACTGCTCTCTTCAAAGCTGTCAGACAGGGACATTTAAGTCTGCAGAGGTTACTGCTGTCTTTTTGTTTGTCTGTGCCCTGCCCCCAGAGGTGGAGCCTACAGAGGCAGGCAGTATGGCACACTCAATTCATCTTCCTGGAAACCTCCATTTACATTTTATTGTTCAATCCAGAAGTAAATAACTTACATTCAACTATTGAGAAAAATTTTAAATGTGAGGACTACAGGGTAGATAAACTTCAAATATCTCAACTGGTACCCAGCTAAGTTCATGTAGACTTAGGATTAATTTTTTTTACAATATTGGCTTTGCCTTGTTTTATTTGCTTTAGAAATGAAATCTTAAGAACGTTGAAAATATGCTGGCTTATTTCTCCCTATAGAAATATATTGCTAGTTATTTCTACTTGTATAAAATATATAGGGTTTCTACTTGTATAAAATATATAGGGTTTTTTGTTGCTTGTTTGTTTTTTTAGAACAAATGGAGTCAATGAGCTCTCTTCTGTAGCACTTTCCATGTTGAATAATTCTCAACACAAGGAAACAAACCTGTTTTCTTTTTAAAAATAATTACACAAGCAGGTCTTGAAAAATTTAGCTTATACAATGCAGTATTATGTAGATTTAAATGTGTCCTCATCCTGCCCACTGCTGTCTTATATTTATTTTAAATTACCATTCTATTCTGATTTTTTTTAGTGGTAGTCATTGCTATCATTTCAACATACGTTATATTCTGTCATTTTATCTGACTTTACTTGTGTATACACGTGTCCAAATTCATATATATGGATTTTATTAAAACCATAATTTAATAATTTTGTTTACATGCTTTTTTTCTGTTAACAATAGCTTAGGTTTTATACAGCTATCCCTCTCATTTTGATTCAGAACTATGTAATATTTCATAGAATGAAAGTACCATAATAGCTTATTCCATTAAAAAATCTGTTACTCACCATGCTTCATCATGCATACATGAAGATATATATTTATGGTCATGTGTAGAAAAATAAAAGCAGAAATATTAAGTGAAATTAAAAATATATAACCTTTACAAGATTTCCAATAGATGCTAGCAAATTGCATTTAACAAATTATTTTCTCTCCAAGACTGTAGGAAAATGACATAACCCCATCCCCTACCAGAAATGAATATCAAATTAATCTTGATTTTACAAGTATTAGTATGCAGATATCATAAGGGTTGTTAGTTAATAACAACAACTGAGTATAATTTGAGCTGTTAGAAAATTATTTTCTTATATCTAAGGTAAAATTTTCCCTTAATATTGATTTATTGGTCTTAGCTCTACTCTTGGTATCAAAGAGAAAATGCTTCTATTTTGTTTATATAACAATTTTTCCACATACAAAGTAGTCACATGGTAAAAGACTGAATAGACTGCTAAAGCCCTACATAAAGAGCAACCCATATGTTACCTGTGTCTTCTATGGTTACTCGTGTCAAAGAGATTTCAATAATATGGTGCAAGTTTTAAGGGGTCACATTTATTTTTCCCAAGACCTGATCTGTGTATTCGTGTTGCCTTCACAATTCAGGCAAGAAGGTTGCTACTCAGGGCTTTTCTTTATCCCCATTTCTCCCATCACCCCCCACCAGAAACTATATTAATTACACATGCAGATCAAAATCACCAGGTTTTATTTTAGTTCTACTTTACTTGCCCTTTGGAGGTCAACCTCCCTTATTTCCACCCATCCTTTTTGTTTCTTCCTAGCTGCTGTCATTTTCTTTTCATATTTTTTCTATTAATCTCCATATCGTTCACGGTGTTTATCATGCTATTCCATTGTAATTAATGTCTCTGGGTTATGAAAGAGCAGATTTAACTTCTGTTTCACTTAGATGTGCTTTATCCCTGAGTAACATGATGCGTGAAAGGATGGACTTGGTGGATTTGGAAATGGAAATGAGACCCATAATGCTTTGCAGCAAATATGCCTGATTCTGAATTTGAAAACTCTTTTAGTTTAGATTCCAATTGTATCCTAAAATAAATTTAGGTTCCACAGACATTTTACTAAGTGTCTGCTTTGGGTCAGGCATAGCCCCAGGAACTCTCACACTGTATTGTTACGTTAACAAAAGTTATTAAGTGTATGAGAGTGAAACTGTGGAATGAAAACTGCATTTTGTATCAGAGAGAAAAGAAACAACTTACATTTTACATATTAAAATATAAAAAATCCAATATTTTACATGTGAATCCTGTGGGATTTCATACTGCTTGTATACATTAGCTCAAGTGATATTAATTGCAATATGGTGGAATACTAATAGTTTCATTTTTGCAGAAGAGAAAATCGAGTGTTAACAGATGCTGACATCCTTGCCACTATCCTACAGCTATTCAATGACATTCCAGGGCTAGGTTTCTGGTGTTTTTCTTTTTCTCTGGCTTCCAAGAGACTGGCAAACTATTTCTTAGTTTTGATTGCCTTATCCCAGTAGTCTCTGTAATCAACAGAAGCAGCAACCGAGGTTCTCTACTTATTAGTATGCATAGGTTTGTGTTTTTTTAACGAAGTAAATATATTTTATTGAGTCTTTCCAAAATCTTTGTAATTTTCCTTAATAAATCAGGAAAGAAAGCATTGTGACTTTTTTTTCCAATATAATCCTGTATTTCCATGAAGATGGCTTCTTTCAGTGTTTATTTTGTTAAGCACATAGTCTATACATCTTTGTTAAATAAATGAATATGGAGCTTCTATTTTTCATAAATAATTTTATGCATGGTTCCAAACTGACCTGTCTGTATATTTTTATCACCTCAAGCCGCAATATATTGATAGTATTTATTGAGTATCCATTTGATTATAGCACCATATTTCATGCATATATGTTTTTATTCAATATTTGATACATTGGGAGAAAAAAATGAATACATTAAAAGTACCGACTGTTTTATTTCTTCCAATATATCTTTTTCTATACTGATAGAGTTTATAGCTTTATAAATTCTAATAGCTACATTCTTTTTCATTCTCTTGATAAGCTCTTTTGATGAAACATTTTGCAATTGTTGAACTTCATAGTTGTTTTTTTTTTTTTTTTGGAGATGGAGTCTCGCTCTGTCGCCCAGGCTGGAGTGTAGTGGCGTGTGGTGTGATCTCGGCTCACTGCAACCTCTGCCTCCCGGGTTCAAGCGATTCTCCTGCCTCAGCCTCCCGAGTAGCTGGGACTACAGGCCCCTGCCACCACACCTGGCTAATTTTTGTATTTTTAGTGGAGATGCAGTTTCAACATATTGGCCAGGCTGGTCTCGAACTGCTGACCTCAAGTGATCTGCCTACCTTGGCCTCCCAAAGTGCTGGGATTATAGGAGTGAGCCACCGCGCCCAGCCTCATTGTTGATTTTTTAAAGCAGGGACTCTAAGTTTGCATGTCAACTATAGTAAATGCATGTTACATACCTTTTTTCCATTTTTTTTTGCTTATTTTTAGTTTGTTATATGAAACCTGTTATTGATATAACCTCAAAAAAACTTGCATGTGTCTAAAGTATGTTTACATATATTTACAGCAGTGGTACAGTCATTAAAGATTTTAGGGCAGAGGGCAGTTTGCATCCTTATAGATACAATTACAAATATCTCTGTTCTTTCTTTTGTAACTACAAAATGCCTTCTGAAAGTAAAAGCATGGGTAATAGTTCTAAAGGCACTTTGATTATTTTTTGGAATATCATTCCTGAATTGAGCTGTGTGTGATATCAAAGAATTGGGCTTTTCATTAGTCAGGATGTTTGTCCTCAATTGTTTCCTTAATGATGGTTCTTTCATTGCTGGAATGTCCTGTTTCTCCTGATGTGTTGATTAACCATGAGTTGACTCATTCTATTTTTGAGGTATGTTTCTTCTGCAGGAATAAGCTACATAGGTAATTAAGCCATTTTTCTAATTTGCCTTTTAAATATACACAATGTGCAACAACCCTTTTTTAATACTGCCACTTCAATTTTGCCTTTTGAAAATACCAATAATATTTTTCTCAACAATTTCTTAGTTTACTACAGGTTTTCTTTATTGTTTTATATTCTATTTTAGTAGTCATTGCTTTTTTCTTTTATTTATATAATCGTGCTTTTTTCATGATTATTAAAAAAGTAGTTTCTCTAGTATGGATATTTTCGGCAAATTTTGTTGTTTCTTTATTATTTTTTGTATTTCTTTTATTTAGATCTGACACCCCACCCTCGTTCCTCTTTTACTTTGTTCGTAATTTTGAAGTCTCCCACTGACACTTACTACTTTTTCTTTACTATATAACTATTTTTTTCTTTTTTAATTTTTATTTTAAGTTTGGGGTGCATGTGCAGGTTCATTGCAGAGGTAAACTTGTGTCATGGGAGTTTGTTGTACAGATTATTTCACTATCCGGGTATTAAGCCTAGTACCCTGTACCGTTATTTTTCATGTTATTTTCTTGAGTATAAAAAGTGGTAAAATGTACTCCATTTATATGAATATTCCATGTCTTTCAACTTTAGTAGAATTTATGCTTATTAATAGCTTTTTTTTTCCTATATCACTGGCAATGGAATAAAACCAAACATCTGTTTCTTTGTTGCTATCAGCATATTTAGGGATTGACAGAATCATTTGATTGAAAATTCTCTAAATATGATCACAGTATTTTATGGATTTTCATCTTTTTTAACAACATAAATATGGATTACATTTGCCTTATAATCATGTGTTTGTGATTCAAGCAGATATACCAGTACTTAGATGGTTCTCAGGAGTGACTCCATTTCTCAGTCTAATACTGGTATAGGGGAAAGGAATTTAAACTATTTTCAGAAAAAAAGGTCATCCATACCATGTGTCATGTTCTTTGCATTTATTCTAGTTTTAAGGTTCTTTAATATTTAACATGGAGATATTACTACTTTTCTCACCAAGTTATAATAGAGTATGTTTAGGGTTGAATAAAATAATATATGTTAAACATTTTACTTTATGGTTTATATACTATTAGTATTATGCTTATTTTATATATTGCCATTATCTTATCATGAAATAACAAAAATGCGGGGGGTGGGGGTCTATCGATTTTGAGTTATGGTTTGCTAACTGCGTTGTCCTGAATGATTTCTCTGATCATGAAAAAGTACACAGTTCTTCTGGTAGTGTACACAGGCTTCTGTTAAGTTAGGAAAATCCTTCGACAGTTATGGCCTTCAAATTCCCCTTCAAGACAGCTGTACAATAGACTATTGCCATATTTCAATTTTCTCCCCATGAATTGTTCACATTAGTTTCTCAATCTAAAATGTCTTTTGGTGTGGTCTTATTTTTAATGTGAACTGGCTTAGACGTCAATGATTAATTGCCAATAATATTCCTGAAAAGAGTAGGAAACTACTTTTAAGTAAAACATTCCACTTAATCCAATAGGTCTTTATTCTTCATAAACCAAATGTCCTTTCTGAATAATATTTTTCCTACTGAGTTAGATATTTTGGTATGTCCTGTAGATACCTCAGTTTTAATATGGCCAAAAATATCTATCATTTCCTCTCTTCAAACTATTTCCCTCTATTATTCTTAATTTTGATTACTATAGCCATTATCTACATACTTTTTTGAAGCTTAAAACCTAAGAATTGACATGGACAACTTCCTTTTTTCATTCCCACAATAAACTGTTCATTAAATCCTTTTGAATTGACTTCCAAATGCTTCTCAAATCCAACCTCTCCTCTCGTCTCCTTGCCTTTTGTCAATACTTTACTTCAGGCAAACTTTATCTATTCTCTGGCCTATAGCTGAACATCCTGACTTGTGTCCCTACTCTCAGTTGTTCCTTAGTCTTTCATTCCTGGACATCTCATTAAATTCTCTACATAGTTCCCAAAGTTACCTACCCATTATATCATAATATCATTTTTAAAGGTTTAAAAGGTTTTTGATGCAATATCATTAGCTATTAGAGAAAAGCAAAGTAAAGCTACAATAACATGCCACTATACACTTACTAGAATGGGAAAAGTAAAACCATGCTGACAATATCAAGTGCTGGTAAATATGTGGAACAACTGGATCTCTCCTGCATTGGTGGTGGGAATGTAAATCGATACATTTATTCTGAAAAACAGTTTGGCAGTCTTTTATAAAGTTAACCATATCTTTATCACATGACATAGAAATCACAATCTTTAGTGTTTATCTCAGAGAAATGGAAACTTACATTCACGAAAAACCAGAACACTAAAATGCATAGGAACTTTATTTGTAATAGCCCTAATCTGGAAAAACTCAATTGTCGTTCAATGAATGAATGAATAAACAAACTGTGGTACATCATTACAACAGAATACTACTCAGAAATGAAAAAGAATAAGCTATTAATAGACACAATAACTTGAATATATATTGAGGCTAAGTGGGAAAAAAGCCTATCTCAAAAGGTTACTTACTGTGTGATTCTATTTATTTAAAAGCCTAAATATGATGAAATGTAGTGATGGAGAACAGATCAGTGGTTATTAGGGGTTATGGTATGAGGAAGTGGAGGGTTGTGACTATTAAAAGATAAATTTCTTTATGTTGATAGAACAGTACTCTATCTTGATTGTAGTGATACACTAATCTATATATGTCATGGAATTTATAGAACTATATACTAAGGGAAGAAAAGATGACTGAAAAGTAGATGAAATCACAGTATGATCTGTAGTCTAGTTAATAGCATACCTATATCAGTTTTTTGGTTTGGATGAACTTCTTTGCTTACAAGTTTCTTTGGGAACCTCTGTACTATTTTAAAAACTTGTTTATCTTAAACTATTTCAAAATAAAATCTTATTCAAGGGAAAAAAATAAAGGCTTCTACTGATTCCCAAGACCAAGAGAGATAAAAATCAATTTTTTACCAAGACATATAATATGAATCCAAGTTGTTTTTAAACTCTCTAATCATCACTCTTCTTCATTCTTGCAAGTAGTTCATATCTTAGCCATTGGGAAATCACAGATATGCACAGAATGCCTTCTTTCACCTCTCATTGACAAATTCCCACTTATCTTTCAATACATGGGCTAAACTCTTCTTTGAGGATCTTCTCAAATCTCAAGTGCTGCTCCTACTCTGCTGCTGTAACACTTCATCATACATTTTTTTGAGAAATTATCACAATCCATTGTTTTTTTTTTCTGTTTATGCATCAGTTTCTTTCTTTAGACAATGAACTGGACAGATGGTATAGCACTGTTCCAGGTTCCTCTCAGAGGAGACAATATTAGCCTAATTACTTTAAAAGCTCAATCTAAAACTAATTTTGCAACAAGCCCAAAATAAATTAATGTTTTGTATTAATTGAGCTGTTGCACTTAGACTTGGTTAATGTAAATATTTTTATTTTCTTCCACCCACAAGGAATGTCTACTTTGCATTGTTGTTTCTGATCTCCATATTCTTGCCATATTAGCAGAACATCAGTGTTTCAAATATATTTTTTAAAGCAAGCTTCATGGATCTAATAAACACTAATACCATCTGTGCTTTTCTATAGCCCAGGGAAATTCTATCTAGAGTTACAGGACATTTTTGAATAGAGTTAGAAATATATACAGTTCTCTTGGAGTCCATAACATTTTATTTCCCAAATATTATGTTTGTGGAATCTAATACTTGCTGTTGTGTGCTATTATAGGCACAGTTTTAAAAACATTTGTTTTATATATAAGCTCTTGGGTCATGATCTCAGGGAGTCTTTTTAGATTATGTTGGTTTTGTATGATAGAATCACTTTCTAAAAGTGATAATAGTACAACATGACAGACAGTGGTAATTGAACATAGAAAACAAAAGCAGAAAAATATATTTGTATGAAGCAAAGCAAATTATGTATTAAGTTGGATGCCATAATTGTAATAATATGTTGAGATGCCTACTAATTCTAACCTCTTATTCAACCTAGTTTTTAAGGATTTTTTCCTATTCTTTTTATCATCAGTAAGCCAAGGTCTGTTCCTCCTTCTGTAATAGCTTTTTGCTTTACTATAGACAGCATAGAGTAAATGCAAAAGTTTTAATCAATACAATTAACATGATTCACAAACCTTCCAGTGACATCTTTGCCAAATTTCATACCCTATGTTATGAAGTTCTGCATGAAAAGCTTTGACTGTTTATCTAATCTCATTGTATATCCTCCTTTTATGTAGTACACCCCAGACTTATTGGCCTTCTTGTTCTTCCAACAATCCAGGCTTGCACTGGTTTGGAAACTTTAGCTGTTATCCCTCTTCAGGGTGTAATGCCTCAAGATTTCACACACGACATTTTTCTGGTTTTTCAGATCTTAGTTTAAGTGTCACTTTCCCAGAGAGGCCTTTTCTGAGTATCCAACTTAAAGTAATCTTGTCATAGTGTGTGTGCCAATGCTGTCTTATAACAGCTCACTAGTGCTTACGGTATACCTCTTTCCAACTATGTATTGAGTGATGTCATATTAGTAAATTTAAATTAGTCATGTTGGGAATGTTTTCATCACAGAAAATGGCAAAAACTCGGCTTGCTTTGTTCCTTTTAGAGAGCTGGTTATTAAACATTTGTCAGCATACCATTGCCTATATTGCCTATTAATATGTGACTCTTTATATTCTTTATATTTCTTGCAACCTTTAATTTCTCTTCTGAAAACTCTATTCATATGCATCTATTTCTAGTAGAATATAAGTTTGATAAGAACCAATTCCCTGCTCTCTTGCTAGTGCCTAGAATACTGCTTTCCACATCATGAATGTACAGTAAATATTTTTTGAATGAGTAAATTACTAGGCTAACCTATCTGTTATTCAGTTATGATGAGTTTATTAATATTTAACATCCATTAGTTGATTTTTAAAATAAAACATCTATTCTTCTATGAATGATTTCCTTAAGTAACATTGGATATATATGTATGCTATATTATTAGTCTCTTTCAATTAGTCAGATGCCCATTTCAAGATAGCTCGTTAGATTTGCTTTATCCTAACATATAAACTTCACTCAGAAG
This sequence comes from Homo sapiens, assembly GCF_000001405.40. NCBI lineage: Eukaryota > Metazoa > Chordata > Mammalia > Primates > Hominidae > Homo > Homo sapiens. The sequence continues at coordinate 8,630,660 of NC_000021.9, read as the reverse complement.
AGAGAACTTTCAAATCCTTAAATCATCTAAGAAATCTCTCCAATTCTTTCATGTCAAGGTTAATAATTAAATGTTTAATATCTCTTTAAGCTATTAAGCTAAGAATAAAAATGCAATATTTTAACCCAATTTACTTGATTAAGGAAAAATCCCAGATGTGATTTAACATGAAGAATTGCAGTGATCTGCAGTTCATTAAAATCTGAATACTAAAAAGAGAATTTTAAACATATTATGTAAAGAAGTTCGTTTACCTCTTTTCCATAAAGAAATATTATCTTCATTTTCCTTAAAGCATGTTGATTATCATTAGGTACTGGATATACCTAACATGAATTATTGCCTTTTTCCCTGCAGAGCTGTGTACTGGTAGTTATTAAATAGCCCATTATCAACTGAAATTCAGATGCAGGTTTTATTCTCCTTTTTTCTGACCATATTTTTCTGCTAGTGTTTATTTATTTACTTATTTTCATTAAAATGACCATGACCTTGGTGTTAAAATCAGTAATGTATACAGAAAATTCATTTGGAATGCAATAGTTATAATTCAGTTCTGAAAATTTATGTTTATCAAAGTATAAAATATTTTTGTTATAACTCTTTTAACTTTTCCTAAAGTGATGTGTGAGCATGATGTAATGTAGCAGAGGTCCAAATTTCCTTTAAGAATATTGCTTAGACCTCATATCATCTGGTTTTAGGACTTAACAAGAAAAGAAAATATTAAAAATCAGATGTCCTATACTGAGAGTTTTATCTTCTAAAGAACTATTTCCTCTTTTATGTTAAGTACCTCCAAAGTATGATGTTGTTAACGTGAGCACATATGTGCACAAATCAGAGCTGCGCTACAGCGCTGAGGAACTACATGTGGATCCTGAGACCCAGTTTAGCTGAAAAAGTACATCTGTGAGCAAATGGCATTGAATTTTATTATTAAGCATCTGATGAAGTGGTTCACCTTTTGTTTTTAGGTCCACATTTGCTGAAATGTAACTCTTATCTCATGCACTGGGAGTGATGAACTTCACTAGGAATCATCGTTCTTTCTGGTAAGTCACCACAGCACAAAACTGCGACCATTGTTCAGTAACAACTAGACTCTGATTGATGCTGTGGAGAATTTGACTAGAAGTAGGAGGATCATTTACTACACGGCAAAAAAACAAATCAGTCTATCTTAGAAAGGTTAAAATTTACATGGATAATAAAGAAAGGAAGAAGAAGAGTGATAAATTAGTGAGAAAAGAACAGTAAGTGTAATTATAGCAATATGCTTAAATGAAAGAGAGAAAAATATGGTAGAAGCATTTATTGATTTGAGATTGTAATTTTTTTAAATAAAAAAGCTTAGTCTGGATTCCAACTTGTATATAAAATTAGGAGCAAAGGTATGATTAATATGTTCATGGAATATAATTATCAAGAAACCACAGACATTTGTGTATGGAGGACACAGAAAGGAGAGAACTTGCTAACAGGAATCCCATTAAAGAAGCTTCAGAATTTGAAGATCAGCAAAGAGAAGGAAGAGATGAGAATGAAAGGCTTTACGAAGGAATGAAATGACAGTCATTGCATTTATTGATGTATCTGTATTTAAACATAAGTATATTTATTTATATTTGAACATAACTGAGTTTTCTAGCAAAATTAATAAGGATTATGCTACAGGCATACTCAGTTACAATCTTAGAGGGATTCTGAGAACTCTTTGACAGGTTATTTACTTATAGTTTGTCAGTAGTTTCTAAACATTTTTGGATGCACATCTCTATAAGTAATAATATTTGAGCAAGTAAACTTCAGTACTATATTTGTTTATTTATATGTACACAATTTTTCTAATATATAATTTAAAAATACCTACTAAAATTGATGAGATAAGATAAATGTAAACAGAATTTTTAATAAATTATTTCTACCACAGCAGATCATTTTTGTATGCATCCCAATCTGGAGACTACGCAGTTTGATTTGGCATTACTATTGATTTGAAATAGAGTTTTGTTTATTTATTTCATTGTTACAAAGAATAGGAAATACAACATAGAGGCTCCCCTCCTAGAATCAAACTAAGTTTAGCATATTATCAACAAATGCTTGCCTCTGAAAAAATACTAATCACTTCTTGTATTAATGAGACTTTATCCAATTTAATTTCATATATTGAATGAGGTTAGGCATTCATTAGAACAAGTCATGACAGGCTAACATTTGTATTTATTAATAGTATGGTAGATATTGATCTCTTTTTCTTCTGAATGACAGGCATTCTATTTTCTAACTATTCTTTCCTCATTTCATGTGATTTGGATGAGGCTATAAATCATAGGACCCTGCTCTTTCAGCTTAGTCTAATTTTGGCACAAAGTATGCATTTAATAACTGATAACAATTATTACTACTACTGTAATTATTACTATCATTGTAGTTATAGGTGCTAATTGGGATTTGTTGAGAGTCCCATATTTGCTCTATGGAATAAACCAAAAGTTGATCAACTCTTTCTGTAAAGGGCCAGATAGTCTATGTTTTGGGCTTTGAGGACATTATGTTCTCTGCCATAACCACTTAACTCTGCCATTGTAACATAAAAGTAACCAGACAGTACATCAACGAATGAATGTGGTTTTGTTCCAATAAAACTTTAGCTGTGTATATGGAGGTGGGTTTGATTTAATTTGAGGTCCATAGTTTGCCAAACCCCAGAAAAAAGCATACAAAATTTACTTAATGCCAATCTGTACAAACGCATAGCTAGTGTGTTAATACATAAATATGCATACAGTCATTCATTATATAATAATTTAGTTCAATAATGGTCTGCATATACCATGGTGGTTCCATAAGGATGTAATATCATATTATTGCTGTACATTTTTTATTTTGACATGTTTATATACATAAACACTTACCGTTGTGTTACAATTGTCTGCAGCATTTGGAACAATCACAAGCTATACAGGCTTAAAAGCGAAGAGCAATAGGCTCTATACCACATAGCCTAGGTGTGTAGTAGGCTATATCATGCAGGTATACATAGAGCATAAGTACATTCTATGATGTTCACACAACAAATCACCTAAGGACTCATTTCTCAGAACATTTCCCTGTCATTAAGTGATGCATGACTACACACGTACCTGAAACTATAAATAACTTTGAAGTATAAATAGTTGGTTGCTTTCTGGTATTTAAAATCAAGCCTACCTTTTAGGCTAAGCGATAGAAGAATAAGAAAATGCTGATTTCTTTCAATGTTTCTTTTGCTTTCATTATGAACTGAATGCTTGTATGCCCCCAACATTTATATGTTAAAGCCTGATTCCCAATGTGATGTCATTTGGAGGTAGATCCTTTACAGGTAATTAGGTCATGAGAGTGGAGCACTCATTAGTGGTATTAGTGCCCTTATAAGAAGACACAGGATAGAGTGTGCTTCCTCTTTATCTTTTTCCACCATGTGAGGAAGCCATGGAAGAAGGTGATCATCAGAACCTAACCATGCTGACACCCTGCTTTCAGAATTTCAGCCTCCAGAACTGTAAGAAATACATTTCTGTTGTTTAAGCCACCCAGTAATGTGTTATAGCAGCCTGAACCAACTAAGTCAGCTTTCATTATTTGTTTCTTTATGATTTGCTGATCTTGTTTTGTGCTTCACAAAGATCCACATAAAACGTCGATACCCCCAGTAGTTCACTTGCAGTTGGTCAATTTCCCGCAGCAGAGCTAATCAACTCATTGCAGACTCTCCTTGCCCTTCTATTCTAGTTGGTCAAAGTTTGATCTGTAAAGTATAGTTTCTATGTCAACTTTAATTTTGCTATGCACTTTTTCCTTGTCTTTAAAACTACATAAACACATGTAATATTTAAACACTGTGGTTTATTCTAATCTATGAAAAACCTATTATTCTGTTCCATTTTTCAAAATACATTTCTCAATTACAATGATGCTATAAGTTTTATAAACTCCCTTTTATTAAGCAAGGAAAAAATGCCCCTCTTCTAGATAGAGGGCCTCCAAGTTAATTCATCAGCAGTAAACATTTTTTTTCCTACGGTTAAATTGATGTATTCACTGCTGCGTCCTTTCTTACTTCTCATTAACCCTCCAACAACCTGGATTTTCCTGTGGTCTCTGAAGAATTTTCTGCTAAATAATGTGTCCATCACTACTTTTGACTTATAATTTCTATTTTAATAAAAAATTAAAAGATTGATTTTTTAAAATTAAAATATTTTATTTTTAATAAATATTAAAAGACTGTTACTGTTAAAATACATTGATTCTATATATATTTTTTCTCTATCCTTCCTTTGAATGACGCTCAAGGCATTTCTTCCATTATGCCTACAGACCTGTGTTATAACACATTCTTTGCCAATCTTTGAAATAAATGCTTAGCAAAGTAATCTTTTAGTTGTATCAGGAGGAAAAGCTATTTGCTTTCTGTCATCACAGACCAATCACAGGTCCTATTTCAACTTCATTTATTAATATTGAGTCAGGTATGCTGCTCAGATTCCTTTGTATATGCAAAACTGTCTCCAAAAATTGGTGTTTAATGTCTACAAGAAAAAAAAAAGAGTGGCTATATTTGTAGCAAAAGGTAAACTCATTGATTTTCATCTCCAGAAGCAATACAAGGATGATTTATTTCCTTGAGAGATAATTTCTTATATGTATAGTAATCAAGGATAGCAACACAAATGAAAATGTAATTATGAGTACTGCATACCATATTGGTTTTTTTCTTCTATTTCTTCTGTTTTTGTTAATTGTCAAAGCCAAGAGTATGTCAAGCTGAGAAAATGTCATTAATGAGGATATAGATTAAATGGTCTGTGGGTAATTAATGATGACTGCAATGTCTTTCTCACTTTCTGCATAAAAGATGGGGTTTATTGCTTCTCTCTTTGAACCTGGGTTAGCTCTGTGACTGCTTCATCAGTAAAATGTGGTAGAAATGACATGGTGACAGCTGAAAGTTTACATTTTAAGCAGAGTCTGCTCCCATTTCCTATTGCTTGGAGTGCTTGCTCTGGGGAAAACTAGATGCCCTGTAAGATGTGTGAATATTCAGAACTCGACACGCTATGAGGACTCCAAGCTGGCCATGTTGCAACATCATTTAAACACTATGCATATTGAATTCAGTAGGTTCTTCACACAGATGCTATCTTTTAAAAAAAAACAAATGTAGTTTAACAATTTATTTATTTGTTTTTGTTAATTCTTACAGCAAACATTTGTAGAATATAGTTAAGGATACAGAGATAAAAGATAACATTTTTATCCACAAGGAATGCTTATTATATTCTGTGAGACAGAAAAGTAAACACACAAAATTTAAAAAGTATTATAGGTAATAAGGCAAAAAAAGGTACAATGTACAAATTTGGATGCTAAGAAAGAAGTACTACTTCTATCCAGAGGCATGGTATCTAGTATGCTCTTTGTGTATAATAACAATATATTATTATATGTTTTATATGCATTTTTATTAATAATGGTAATGGCAACTCTCCATTATTGAGCACAAATCATGTGCCAAGCATTATGCAAGTGAGCTACTATTCTGCTTCTACCTGAGAAAGGAGCAAGAAATTAGAAATAACATGTTTCTAAAAATTTCCAATCCAAATTGATCATATCAAAATAGTATGGCACTTAGGTCAATCAATTTCTTGGGAAAAGAAGCTAACAGATTATAAAATGGGATCCCTCCTCAAAAGGCAGCTCATTCATGATAACTCTCTAAATGGTTGTATGAAAATATAAAAATAATTAAGTTTCATCCTGGACCTTTTGATGCTAACATTAAAAGGACAGCATTGTCTTCTCACAAAAATCCCTTATTTTTCTTCTTACCAATAGAAATCCATGATGAGTGAGCTTGTCTCATTATGGCAATTCCTATAATAACAGATAACAACTAGTAACAGATGTCTCTGAGTCAAATCTCTTTTCTGACCAGCCATACTGAATAATTTGTCATTTCAATTTAAGTGTTTGTGTGATGATGAGAATACTGAAAATGTGACTTTTAAAGCACTTGATGATACTTTGAATTCTTTAGTTTTTGTAGTTTTGGTCCAAATTTGCTTGCTTTATTTCCTCATAGGTAATGAAAATATAAATCCTTAGCCTAACACTTTTGCAAATTATTTCAAAATGAGAATAAATGAAGTCTAAATTCATTGTGTCTTACTCAAATTGTTTTTACTCATATGGTTGAGTTTCAAATTCACCAGCTGCACAACCTCATGCCAGTCATTTGTTTCCCTCACATACGCCTGTGAAGATCAAAGGTTATAGTTCTTGCTTGTGGTTTTCAAAGTCAGTTTTGCTGAGAAAACTGATCTCTAAATCAATGCTTAGTCAGAAGCCAAATACGTAAAGCACATAACCTCAGGGTTACTTGAAGGATCTCTAATCAGTGGAGATAGGATATGATGAAATTGGACATGAATGTGTTAGCATATTAGTTGTGGATGTTACACAAAGAAGCACTCTCCTCAAATAAGTTTGAGACACTCAGTGATAAGGAAGTTACACAGTTTCTTTATTGCAGTACTTCTCCAAGACCTAGTTATGCTGATGTGAATTGTTATTCTGTGGTGAAGGGTAGTATTTCTCAAAGTTAGGCAACAAATCATTGAACTTTAAGAAAGACAGAAGTGTATTTTATGTACTATTTTATCTTCAATGCTTCCCATAATATCTGACACATAAGTGATATCAATAAACAACATTTGATTGAATTTAAATAATCCATGAGATTTGGTTTCTGTGCCAGTCACTACTGAGTAGCTTTTTGTTTTGAAGAACATAGTCTTTTCTCTCTGTTATTATTTTTGTAATGTGAGTGATGTCTACAAACACAAGAACCAACTGAGCACAAAACAAATAAACAAAAACTCTGAATCTATAACTAACTGAACCACTGAAATTTTTCATCTAAACTTTCCTTACATTCTGACATCCAGAAAAGAATTTCTGCTCAAATGGGCAAGTCACAAAGACAAATACTTTTAACTGTCTTGGTGTTTCACCCCATTTGTTTTATTATCTCTTACTTCTTTTTATGTAAGTTATATTTAGTAGACATTTGTCCACTATTAATGGACTTCTTTCTAGAGGTGGCATTATGTTGAATTTAGTTTTTTAAGGTCATTGCAAGTAAATGAAAAATTTCTGTCTATTATGGTCATTACTATTGAAAATAGATGTGGGAAAATATTCTGTTTATCATTACTGAGAAGATATGTACCAGGTACTATTCTAAATTTGGTACATTTTTCAAAATATCTAACTTTATTTAATTTTCCTAAAATTGCATGAGATGGATATTACCGTCTTCATTTTCTCAACGAGAAAGAACTTGAGGATCTGAAACATTGAGGAATTTTTCTAAGAACAAATAGCTGTGAAATTACAGAGTTGAGGTGAGGACTCAATTTTACCCTGACTCCAAATCATATACTCTTAAATAATAAATAATAGAAATTTGAAATACAAAAATCAAAGTTTCTCTCTCCTTCTGGTTTCATCATTTTATTCTGAGACATCAAGGGAAAGAAGAAAATATCTTCTATATTAAAACACCTCACCTCAACATGAATTTGTACACTATTCCAGTTTTATTCCCAAAGTGATTGATGAGTTCAAACAGACAGAGGTGAGGGATTGGAATATTAATATCAAAGATCTCAAATGATTTTCTCTCTCCTATGACAGTATTGAATGAGCTTAAACTAATGTTAGCATCAAGATCTTCAAAACATCATTCATCGTGGGGAAAAGGGAATCAATACTAACATCAGGATCTTCCCTCTTACTTAAAGCTTTAATTCACTTCTATGTTCCACTTACATAACCCCAAACAGCCAATACATTTCATTTTATAATATTGCCTATGAATTTTACATATTTATTTTGTGTTATTTCATTAGTCACTGCATGCATGCCTCTGTCCCTTCAACAAATGTTTATTGAGGACCTATTACATGTCAGCACTGTTGTAGGCTCTGGGATGCATTAGAGAACAAAACAAACAACAATCCCTGATGTAATGGAGCTTGCATTTTAATGAGGAAAATAGACTATAAATAAAATAAATAAGTTAAATCAATAGCATATGAAAATATTATAAGTGGGGGGAAATCACTCAGAGAAGGCAGAGAAGGAGTTTTGGGAAATAGGGGTAACTTTTAAATTGAGCATTCAGAAAAAGACTCACTGAAAAGATGAAATTTGAGCAAATGCATGAAAGAGATGCAGAAATGAGCCAGCTGGATATCTGAAGGAAAAGCATGCTAGGCAGAGGGAACAGCAAGGTGGCACATATGCTAAACTATACAGTGAGGAACAGAGTATTAGAGAGATGAATTCAGAGAGCAAATAGGGGAGCAGGGTGTGTGTGTTCAAAACTGCAGACCAGGGGTTAGTAAACTTGCCTTCTAAGGGGCCAGATTATAAACAGGTTCAGCTTTGCAGGCCACATTATCTCTGTCACAACTACTCAACTTTGGCATTATAATACATAGCCATCATTGTATGTAAACCAATACATGTGACTGTTCTAATCCAACTTGATTTTAAAAAGCAAGCAGTGGTCAAATTTGCTACAATTTCCCACTGCAGACCATTGAGAAAATTTTGGCTTTTGCTTTAATTGAGATGAAGTGTAGGGTAGTTTTAAAAAACTGTGGCATATTCTTTAGATTTCTTCCCATTGAGAGGTGTCTCTACATCTTGACTTCATTTTGGCTGGACTTATGACTTCTTCTACACATGTACTATGGTAGAAATGATGCTATGCGACCTCTAAGGCTAGTTAATAAAAAAGCATACAACTTCCACCGTTTTCTTTGTATCCTCCCTCTAGAGAAAACCAACTACCATGTAAGTAATATGGCTACCTTGAGGCCACTGAATTGGAGAAACCACATTGAAAAATCTCACAAATAGGACAGGAAATGCCAGATAAATCCCAGCTGTTCCAGCCTTCACGTAGTTGTGTCATGAAAACCTGTGATTGTGGAAGGCATAAAGATGACCTCAGCCTCAACCTCCATCTGACTACAATCACATGACAGATCCCAAACCAAAACAACCCAGCTGAGTCTAGTTGGTTCCCAGGACCTTGAGCGGAGTGATACATATTTTTTTTAAGCCAGTCTGTTTTGGAATTGTGTCTTACACATATCCAGGTAACTGAAATCAGCACTCTTTAAAGTATTTTGAGAAAAGGAATTATGCAGCATTAATCTTGTGTTTTAACAGAATTTCTCTGGCTTTGTGGGTGGCAAAAAGGAATCAGGGAGACTATTTTAATAATCCAGACAAAAGAGTTTAGTGGGTTGGACCAGAATCATAGCAGGGAGGACCAAGAAAAAGGGTAGGATTTTGTTTAACTGTATTTTGAAGGTACAGGTAACTGCTTTACCTGATAAACTAGATGTAGAATACAAGACAAAGGGTTGAATGAAGATGTCTCCAAGAGTTTTTAGCATGTGGCAGAATGTAGCTGTCATTTACTGAGTTGGAAAAATATGAGAGATGCTGATTCGAAGGTGAAAAATCAGGACCTGAGTTTTGGACTTGTTATTTTCTACATGGTTATTCAACATCCAAATGGAGAAAGCAAAGGGGTAAATATGTATGAGTCTAGCTTTTTAGCAGAGGTCTTATCTGGAGATATATGTGGATGCTGCCAGCCTCTAGAAAATACTGAGTTACTAAAGCACAAATGGGGAAGAGAAATACCAAGAGCTTGAGGCACTTACATTTTAAGAGGGCAGGGAGATAAGGTAGGATTCTCAAGAGTGTTCAAGAGAAAAGGGCCAGAGAGGTAGGAGAAAAGTTAAGAGAAAGTGATGTCCAAGGAAGCCAAGTGGAAACAGTACTGATGCATGAACCAAGGCAGGCATTTATTATGAAACTGAGCATCCAGAAAACAGGGTGAATATTTAATACCTGTTTTGTCTTCATTTATAAAATCGTGACAAACAGCGTTCATATCTTGAGTCCATTCTATATGCAAGTACAAGTAAAACCTTAGCAAGTATTCTCAATTACAAGTGCAATTTTAGATATTGATGGAGGATGGGCAAGAATTTGGAACAATTTGCTAGGGATGATATAAAATTGTAATAAATAAAAAGTGTTACTTTTTGGCTGTGTCCCCACCCAAACCTCCTCTTGAATTGTAATACCGGTAATCCTCACGTGTGGATGGAGGAATCTGATGGGAGACGATTGGATCGTAGAGGTGGTTTCCCCTATGCTGTTCTCGTGATAGTGAGTGAATTGTCATGAGATCTGATGGCTTTATAAGGCAGTTTTCCCTGCTTTTGCTCATGTTCCCTCACCTGCCACCATGTAAGATGTGCTTGCTTTCTCCTTCTGCCATGATTGTAAGTTTCCTGAGGCCTCCCCAGCCATGTGGAACTGTGAGTCAATTAAACCTCTTTTCTTTGTAAATTATCCATTCTTGGGTAGTATCGTTTAGCAGTGTGAGAATGGACTAAAACAAGAAGAAAGATTGAGACAACATGCTTTGGCCTCTTCTCTGTTTGTTGAACATCCTGGGGAATCCACCACCATAATATCTCTTCTGTTTTAACTGAAGACTTTTGTGCAGGACACTGAATTCACACCAATCTTTATGTTCATATTGACAACTCAGTGATTAATAGGGATACCCTATTTGTTTCATATGCTACATGGTCACAGATTTAGATATGTAAGCTGCAGAAATGAATTGGTTCAACCTTTCTGTAAACTGGGGCTTTATACAAGGAACAATTAAAATTTCTTTAGTTGGCTTTTCTCTGCACTATTTCCCCATTTGTCTATCTAAATCTAAACACAGATGCCATAGTCCTGTTATTTTACCCTTAACTGTGGTGATGCAAAATATAATGCAAAAGCTCAAAAACGATGCACAATAATAGACACGTGCAACTAGCTTTGTAAATAAAAGTTTGCAGTGAGGTCCCCAAAGACTGGAAACTAAATGTTTCCTTTTCAAATTAACAGCTAATATGTCTCACGGTTAGAATGTAAAACTTGCTTCATTACTCATTTAACGACCTGGGGAATTAAAACCATCCTTTCCTCTTCCAATGTTTGAAAGATAATTTTAAATTTTAAATTTCATGTTTTTCTCATTATTAAGGATTGATAATGGACCCAATGCATGGGAAAACTAATCTAACAAAAAATACATTGGAGGTGTCAAGGCAGTGTGTATTAATGGATGACACTTAAATGAGCTGCTAACAGGGCTCAGAAAGAACCTGACAGGCACCATGATTGATCTATTATTGGCCTAGGTGACATTATTGGATTTCAGAAATTTGAATTAAAAATTTCACCTAAAGAAAAAGAATAGGTTTGAATTCAAGCAGTTAATTTAGTATAGTCATTATTTTAAAAAACTTGCTGAAGTGAGGCAGTGTGTACACAGTCAAGTAGGCTTTGGTAAATATTTTAAATATTGTGATTTTTACCTGCAATATATTTGTATACTGCAATTCCTTTGTACACCACAGTTATATTTTAAATATACCATTTTAAGTTATTTTAGTTTGTGTGAATAATGTTGAATATCTGATTTCGTAGTTAACCTGGCCAGAGGCTTTTTTTTAATTGAACTTTTCAAAAAATCATCTTCTGGTTTTGTTGATTTCTCTATTGATTTCCCATTTTTATTTCATTTATTTCTACTCTAATTTTAATTTATTTTCCTATGCTTACTTTGGATTTAATTTGCTTTTGTTCTACTTTTCTAAGGTGATTAATTTTTTTTAATTTTAATAAGTTTTTGGGAAACAGGTGGTGTTTGGCTACATGAATAAATTCTTTATTGGCAATTTCTGAGATTTTGGTGAACTGATCACCCAAGCAGCGTACACTGTACCCAATATCTATGTAGTGTTTTATCCCTCAACCTCCTCCCACCCTTTCCCCCAAAATCCCCAAAGTCTATTATATCATTCTTATGCCTTTGCATCATCATAGCTTAGCTCCCACTTATGAGTGAGAACATATGATGTTTGGTTTTCCATTCCTGAGTTGCTTCACTTAGAATAATGGTATCCAATTCCAAGGTTGCTCAAATGTCATTATTTTGTTCCTTTGTATGGCTGAGTAGTATTTCATTGTATATATATATATATATATTTTATATATATACACACATATATCTATATCACATTTTCTTTATCCACTGTTGATTGATGGCATTTGGGCTGGTTCCATATGTTTGCAATTGTGAATTGTGCTGCTATAAACATGTGTGTACAAGTATCTTTTTTGAATAATGACTTATTTACCTATGGGTAGTTACCCAGGAGTAGGATTGCTGAATCAAATGATAGATCTACTTTCAATTCTTTAAGGAATCTCCACACGGTTTCCCATAGTGGTTGTACTAGTTTACATCCCCACTAACAGTGTAAAAGTGTTCCCTTTTCATCAGATCCATGCCAATATCTATTTTTTTGATTTTTTGATAATGACAATTCTTGCAGAAGTGAGGTGGTATCGCATTGTGATTCTGATTTGCATTTCCCTGATAATCGGTGATGTGGAGCATTTTTCATGTGTTTGTTGACCATTTGTATATCTTCTTTTGAGAATTATCTATTCATGTCCTTAGCCCACTTTTTGATGCAATCGTTTGGTTTTTTTCTTGCTGATTTGCTTGAGTTCCTTGTAGATTCTGAATATTAGTCCTTTGACTGTTGCACAGGTTGTGAATATTTTCTCCCACTCTGTGGGTTGCCTGTTTACTCTGCTGATCATTTCTTCTGCTGTGCAGAAGCTTTTTAGTTTAATCAATTCCCATCTATTCATCTTTGTTTTTGTTGTGTTTGCTTTTGGGTTCTTGGTCATGAAGTGTTTTCTTAAGTCAGTGTCTAGAAGGGTTTTTCCAATGTTATCTTCTAGAATTTTTATGGTTTCAAGTCTTAGATTTAAATCTTTGATCCATCTTAATTTGATTTTTTTATAAGGTGAGAGGTGAGGATTCAGTTTCATTCTTCTACATGTGGCTTGCCAATTATCCCGGCAACCATTTGTTGAATAGGGTTCCTTTCCCTATTTTATGTTTTTGTTTGCTTTGTCAAAGATCAGTTGACTATAAGTATTTGGGTTTATTTCTGGGTTCTCTATTCTGTTCCATTGGTCTATATGCCTGTTTTTATACCAGTACCATGCCGTTTTGGTGACTATGGCCTGATAGTATAGTTTGAAATTAGGTAATGTAATGTCTCCAGATTTGTTCTTTTTCCTTAGTCTTGCTTTGGCCCTGTGGGTTTTTTTTGGTTCCATATGAATTTTAGGATTGTTTTTTCTAATTCTGTGAAGAATGATGGTGGTATTTTGATGGGAATTGCATTAAATTTGATGATTGCTTTTGGCAGTATGGTCATTTTCACAATATTGATTCTACCCATCCATGAGCGTGGTATGTATTTCCATTTGTTTGTGTTGTCTATGATTTCTGTCAGCAGTGTTTTGCAGTTTTCCTTATAGAGGTCTATCACCTTCTTGGTTAAGTATATTACTAATTTTTTTTGTTGTTATATTTTTGTGGCATTTTGCAGCTATTGTTAAAGAGGTTGAGTTCTTGATTTGATTCTCAGCTTGGTTGCTGTTGGTGTATATCAGCGCTACTGATTTGCATACATTAATTTTGTATCCTGAAACTTTACTGAATTCATTTACCAGTTTTAGAAGCATTTTGGATGAGTCTTTAAGGTTTTCTAGGTATAAGATCATATTATCAGCAAACAAGAACACTTTGACTTCCTTTTTACTGATTTGGATGCCCTTTATTTTTCTTTTGTCTGATTGCTCTGGCTAGGACTTCCAGTACTATGTTGAATACAAGTGGTGAAAGTGGGCATCTTTGTCTTATTCCAGTTCTCACGGGGAATGCTTTCAACTTTTCCCCATTAAGTATAATGTTGGCTGTGAGTTTGTTATAGATAAGGTGATTAATTTTAAATATTTCTTTTCTAATACATGTATTCAATGCTATAAATTTCTCTCTAAGCACTGCTTTCGACACATCCCACAAACTTTGTAAGTTGTATTTTCATTTTCATTTAGTTCAAAATACTTATTTTGTTGTTGTTAAGATTTCTTCTTTCATCCACGTGTTCTTTAATAGTGTGTTCTTTAATCATAAGACAGTCAGTAGATGTCAATTATATCCAGTTAATTGACGGTGCTGTGTTTACTCTTTTTTCTGTCTGCTTGATATGTCCATTTTTGATAGAGGGGTGTTGAAGTCACCAACTATAATAGTGGACTCATGTTTTTCTCCTTGCAGTTCTATTAGATGTTGCCTCATGTTTTTTGATGCTCCATTGTTAGGCATCTATACATTAAGGATTGTCATGTCTTTATAAGGAACTGACCCCTTATCATTATGTAATACCCATCTTTAGCCCTGGTAACTTTCTTTGCTCTGAAGTCTAGTCTGTTTAAAATTAATATAGCTGTTCCCATTTTAAAAATTAGCATCAGCATAGTATATCTTTCAGTATGTGCTCTTATAGTTAATGCATGTTTCTTGTAGGCAACATACAATTGGGAAGGTTTTTTTTAAATCCATTTTTACAATCTTTGCCTTTTAACTGATATATTTAGAACATTGATGTTTAAAGTAACTAATGATTTAGTTGAATTAATACCTATCATATTTGTTAGTTTTATATTTGTTTCCCTTTTTCTTTGTTCTTAGTTTGTCTTCCACTATTTTACTGCCTTTCATGGCTTTAATTGAGCATTTTGTATGATTCCATTTTCTCTCCCTTATTATTAGCATATCAGTTATGCTTCTTTTTTACATTTCTCAGTGGTTGCACTGGAGTTTCCAAGATACATTTATAACTAATTAAAATCCACGTTCAAACAACATTATACCACTTCACAGGTAGTGTGTGAGTACCTTAAAATAATAAAATAATCATAATTCTTCCCTCCTTGTCACTTTTATCATTGCTATCATTCACTAATATATAAGCATATATAAGTGCTTATATATAAGCACTCATAAAATAACATAATAGTAGCATCAATATATTTTATTACATAATCACATGTGTAATAAAATGTATATATGTAATATATATGAAATTTTTATATATATTATATATAAAAGCATATGTAATGAAATACATTGTTGCTACTATTTTGAGCACACTTCTATTTGTATATCAATTAAGAATAAGAAAAATATTTTTTCTTTGTGACCCCAGGTGTCATGGATAAAAGATCTATGGATATAATTTTCAAGTCAGTGCAAGGGTATTTTTTCTAACACCGAAGTGATATTAGAGTGGACTGAATTCTCTTGGGAAGTATTTAACTCCTAATTCTGGAGCTATTCCAGTGCTTGATAAACCACTCAGTGAAGATACTCTCAAATGAGTTCTTAGTATTTTTGTGTTAAACAGAAAATTTTCCAGTGTTAGGATAATTGGCAAGGATGGAAAGACTCAAAATTGCACTAATTGTATTATTCATAAAGAATAATGGAGTCACCACCAAAGAATAACACAGTGTCTGAAAGGCATCCACGGATATCACTGTCTTCATATGTTGAGTCTTCATCATCAGGTTACTGTTTTAATAGAGCTATTTACTTCCTTGAATGCACTCTCAGTTATTCACTCAGATATGTTATCATAAGTTCAGATAAATAAAATATTTTCAGAATCATCTTGAAATTTCACTATACCTATTATTTGCAACAAATGTTATTCCAGTTTCCATTTGACTCTTTTAGTTTAATGTTCTGTGTAACAGCCATTGCTGTTAATATACGTATTTGGGGCAAAAAATACAATATCCTTTGTGATATCCCTTGGATTGTAATATCTGACCTTTGACCCCACATGTTTTAATTATGCAACTAATTATCATGTAATAAAGGAAATACAACTTCAAGATGGTAGCTTTGTATTTTATATTTAAAATCTTAGAAAGTTCTATTATTGATAAATAAAAGGATTCAAAATAATCCTGAAGTATAATGATGTTAAACATATAGTTTAGAACTAGATTAACGAAATAATACCATTTGCATAGGTAGGGTGTCTGATATGCTTCTAAATTAATTTGATTTGTATATTCTTGAAAACTCCCACAAGTTATTTGCATGTACTAAATAGATGTTGCTTTTTATTCTGAAAAATGAGAATGAAGATAAAACATAGGTTCATATATTGGTCAACATGCAGAAAAACCAATATTGATTATTTTTACAGTTCATTACATCATTAATATATTGGGATTTCCCTTTTACTACAGACAGTAATATATTTCACTATGCATGTTTATTGAAATATGTTTTAAATAGATATGCATAACAAAGTATATATTAGTTCAAGCAGATGTTTAGGGTCATAACCGTCAAGAAATTTGAGCTGCCCAGGCGTGTGGCAAAATCAGAGTTACTAATGATTGTTTTATTGTTTCTGCATTTCAGTCATAGAGTCTGGCAGATTGCAAGTGTACTGTTATTCTGTAGGAGGTATAAAATGTTCATGATGTTATCTTGGGCGAGGCCTCCAGCCTGGAAGATCAGCATAACTCTGAGTTGCTAATCTGGCCAGTTCAATCTTTGTTTTTATAGAGAAAATCAAAGATATATCAATTGATGCCAGTTGCAAATTACAGAAATGTTGTGATTAGTATTTTTGAAAGTCTTATATTAACACCATTTGATTAGTTGAAAATTCTTCTCCTAGGCTCCAGTTACTATCTTCCCAGCTTAAATCCAGAAAACAACAGCAACGTCTTTGCCAGCTACCTCAAATTTGGAGAATTGAACACCGTAGCTCAGCTTGAGGAAAGATGATAGCATTGGAACTGATTTCACTTTCTGAGCCTTTTGTTGAGGGTATTTACTAATAATACTTCTGAACTGTAAAATCTGTGGGTTAGCATCCCCCTCTGATGCAAGAAACCTGGAGTTTACTGGCTAGCTAGCAAATGCAAAATTAGACAATTTTGCTGGTAGCTAAATTTACACGGTTAAGTGTGTTTGACTATTATATGGCTGCAGAAAGTTCCACATGCCAATTTATTTGCTTATGGTGTTTTGGAAAATGGAATACTTTAGAGAAAGAGAAAGAGAACACACCAACTTTCAACTCCATTGATTTTAATTAAGCTAACTGTAGATTGGCAAGCACTGCAAAATTCACAAGCCTGATGAGACAAAAGAGATTACACAATAGGTACAGGAACTAATGGCTAGTCCTTAATTATCTGAAACTGACAAGACAATGACCTGTCAAATTAATGGAAATTATCTTCCATAAAGCCTTGGTGGAATGGCAGCATAATATTGAACTTTAGAAGAAAAAGAAGCTTGGACCAAAAAGAAGTTCCTTGCCCTTAAAAATGAGCATACCATAATAGACACAGACATGGGAAGATGCTCACGATGTATTAAGTAGAAAAAAAATAGAAAATAATATAGGCAGCCTGTTCCCATTTTGGTAAAATTGAAATACACCAAACCACTTTCACCTGTTCTGCCAACATAGGATGTGTACCTGGTCACTCCTGTTTTGTTTTATTGTGTGTATATATATATATATTTTTTTTTCAATTAATCATTGGAAAACCCCATTTTCTCTTTTGGGAAAAAAATCTAATACTGTCTCTAGGTCCTTCTGCCAAACCCAGTGAGACAGATTCCAGATGCCAATGCCATTGCTTATCAATATCACATGGTATCACTGTCAGATGCACATCATGAAAAACTTCATGCCTGTCTGCTGCTACTGGGATACCCTTGCTGGTAGAAGCCTGTGCCAGAGTGGTGCTCATGAGATATCAAGGATATAGCCCATTTTACATCATACTCCCATGTTCCATCCTTATTCCACTAAACAATCATGGAGCTAGTAAGGCTGTGTTTGGATGAGTTATTGCAAGCTAATTTTAGTAGGCCAAATAATGCATACAGTAAACTAGAGAGTATTTGCTTGAAAATATTATGGTGCCTTGTCCTTATTTTAGACTCACCTCGTAAGTAGTAACTAAAACAATAAATGAATGAATGAACAAGTAAATGAATGAATGCAAGCTGTCTGGACCAGCTTGGTAATAAATATCCTGAAGTTCATCTTTCCATTTTTAAAAAGTCACCCAACTTATGTTTGATAAATATAAACAAACTTTTTTATGTCATCATTTTAAATGCTTTAGGAAATGCTTTCATTTCCTTTCGTTTTGTCCGATGTTCATATCTTTCATGCTTTGCTTATCTTTTGGAAGTGTCTGTCCAACTAGAGCTCTTCCAAAAAGATATTTGGCAAGGACATCTTCTGCTCCCAGGTATAAAAGTGAGTCAAACACCATTATTATTTTTATCCTTCAGGAAAAACCTTCTGTGAAAATTCTGATTGCATTTCCTTTTATAAGATTCTGTCTCATATTTATTAACTGAAAGGTTTGGGTCAAATCAGCCACATGTACTCTCTGTAGTTTATCAGCAGAAGGATTCTTTGAAAGATTAAATTGCACAGGGCTGACTTCTAAAGTGCAGTGAAAAAAATAAAAAAGCCACTTGGTAAAAATGCTAAAACTGTTATTTTCTTGGGAAATGTTGTAGAATTTTAGCAAATTAACATGTTACATTTAAACCCATTTGTACTTGAGACTGGATTGTTTATAGATGCTTGAAAGAACCATTATTTGTGTGTACAGATAAGCAAATTGAAAAACATAATTACTCATAACCGTGTTTTATGTTTTCCAGAATCTTAAAGAAGTCAAAAATATCAGTGAAATCAAACATGGAGAAATATTGCATTATTAATAGTATACTGAAAAGTAAATACGATTTTTGAATTTCTTTATAAATCATTTTTAGTTATCATAATCCTTCAAGCATCAATTCACTGTGTTTTAAAATGCACATTTATTATCTCTGTATGTGATTTTTCACATCTTTCATTTTTTTCTCTATATTTATGTTTGGGGAAGAATGTGGAATATAGAATGCAGACATGATGTCTCTGAAATACATGTCTCCTCTCCCAGAGACATAGTCACATTTTATAGTTAAATTTTGGTTTGAAAGTTCTAATTTCTCTTCCATTAACCTTTCTGATTCCAAATGCTACCAGTCTCTGTGGCCAAGAGAATGATACACCATCTTTCTCCATCCCCAACAACAGAAAGCTCGGTTTCATCTTCCATTTTCCCCAGCTTTTCCACCTCATACCACTCAGAAAGTCCTGGATTTTATTTTCTTTTGAGTTTCTTGAATAGGTTTACCCTTTCTCCCTTTCTGATTCCTGAGTCCTTTCATTAGTCTCTTTTTATTATTATTATTATTATTATACTTTAAGTTCTAGGGTACATGTGCACAACGTGCAGGTTTGTTACATATTTATAAATGTACCATGTTCGTGTGCTGCACCCATTAACTCGTCATTTATATTAGATATTTCTCCTAATGCTCTCCCTCCCCCCTCCTCTGACCCAACTACAGATTCCAGTGTGTGATGTTCCCCTTCCTGTGTCCAAGTGTTCTTATTGTTCAATTCCCACCTATGAGTGAGAACATGCAGTGTTTCGTTTTTTGTTCTTGCGATAGTTTGCTCAGAATGATGGTTTCCAGCTTCATCCATGTTCCTACAAAGGACATGAACTCATCCTTTTTTATGGCTGCATAGTATTCCATGGTGTATATGTGCCACATTTTCTTAATCCAGTCTATCATTGATGGACATTTGGGTTGGTTCCAAGTCTTTGCTATTGTGAATAAACATACATGTGCATGTGCCTTTATAGCAGTATGATTTATAATCCTTTGGGTATATACCCAGTAATGGGATGGCTGGGTCAAATGGTATTTCTAGTTCTAGATCCTTGAGGAATCGCCACACTGTCTTCCACAATGGTTGAACTAGTTTACAGTCCCACCAACAGTGTAAAAGTGTTCCTATTTATCCACATCCTCTCCAGCACCTCTTGTTTCCTGACTTTTTAATGATCGCCATTCTAACTGGTGTGAGATGGTATCTTATTGTGGTTTTGATTTGCATTTCTCTGATGGCCAGTGATGATGAGCATTTTTTCATATGTCTGTTGGCTGCATAAATGTCTTCTTTCGAGAAGTGTCTATTCATATCCTTCACCCACTTTTTGATGTGATTGTTTGTTTTTTTCTTGTAAATTTGTTTGAGTTCTTTGTAGATTCTGGATATTAGCCCTTTGTCAGATGAGTAGATTGCAAAAATTTTCTCCCATTCTGTAGGTTGCCTGTTTGCTCTGATGGTAGTTTCTTTTGCTGTGCAGAAGCTCTTTAGTTTAATTAGATCCTATTTGTAAATTTTGGCTTTTGTTGCCATTGCTTTTGGTGTTTTAGGCATGAAGTCCTTGCCCATTCCTATGTCCTGAATGGTATTGCCTAGGTTTTCTTCTAGGGTTTTTGTGGTTTTAGGTCTAACATGTAAGTCTTTAATCCACCTTGAATTAATTTTTGTATAAGGTGTAAGGAAGGGATTCAGTTTCAGCTTTCTACATATGGCTAGCCAGTTTTCCCAGCACCATTTATTAAATAGGGAATCCTTTCCCCATTTCTTGTTTTTGTCAGGTTTGTCAAAGATCAGATGGTTGTAGATGTGTGGTATTATTTCTGAGGGCTCTGTTCTGTTCCATTGGTCTATATCTCTGTTTTGGTACCAGTACCATGCTGTTTTGGTTACTATTGACTTGTAGTATAGTTTGAAGTCAGGTAGCGTGATGCCTCCAGCTTTGTTCTTTTGGCTTAGGATTGACTTGACAATGTGGGCTCTTTTTTGGTTCCATATGAACTTTAAAGTAGTTTTTTCCAATTCTGTGAAGAAAGTCATTGGTAGCTTGAAGGAGATGGCATTGAACCTACAAATTACCTTGGGCAGTATGGCCATTTTCATGATATTGATTCTTCCTATCCATGAGCATGGAATGTTCTTCCATTTGTTTGTGGCTTCTTTTATTTCATTGAGCAGTGGTTTGTAGTTCTCCTTGAAGAGGTCCTTCACATCCCTTGTAAGTTGGATTCCTAGGTATTTTATTCTCTTTGAAGCAATTGTGAATGTGCGTTCACTCATGCTTTGGCTCTCAGTTTGTCTGTTATTGGTGTATAAAAATACTTGTGATTTTTGCACATTGATTTTGTATCCTGAGACTTTGCTGAAGTTGCTTATCAGCTTAAGGAGATTTTGGGCTGAGACAATGCGGTTTTCTAAATATACAATAATGTCATCTGCAAACAGGGACAATTTGACTTCCTCTTTTCCTAATTGAATACCCTTTATTTCCTTCTCCTGCCTGATTGCCCTGGCCAGAACTTCCAACACTATGTAGAATAGGAGTGGTGAGAGAGGGCATCCCTGTCTTGTGCCAGTTTTCACCGGGATTGCTTCCAGTTTTTGCCCATTCAGTATGATATTGGCTGTGGGTTTGTCATAAATAGCTCTTACTATTTCGAGTTACGTCCCATTAATACCTAATTTGTTGAGAGTTTTTAGCATGAAGCGTTGTTGAATTTTGTCAAAGGCCTTTTCTGCATCTATTGAGATAATCATGTGGTTTTTGTCTTTGGTTCTATTTATATGCTGGATTATGTTTATTGATTTGCGTATGTTGAACCAGCCTTGCATCCCAGGAATGAAGCCCACTTGATCATGGTGGATAAGCTTTTTGATCTGCTGCTGGATTTAGTTTGCCAGTATTTTATTGAGGATTTTTGCATCGATGTTCATCAGGGATATTGGTCTAAAATTCTTTTTTTGTTGTGTCTCTGCCAGGCTTTGGTATCAGGATGATGCTGGCCTCATAAAATGAGTCCGGGAGGATTCCCTCTCCTTCTATTGATTGGAATAGTTTCAGAAGGAATGGTACCAGCTCCTCCTTGTACCTCTGGTAGAATTCAGCTGTGAATCCGTCTGGTCCTGGACTTTTTTTGGTTGGTAGGCTATTAATTATTGCCCCAATTTCAGAGCCTGTTATAGGTCTATCCAGGGATTCAACTTCTTCCTGGTTTAGTCTTGGGAGGGTGTACGTTTCCAATAATTTATCCATTTCTTCTAGATTTTCTAGTTTATTTGCATAGAGGTGTTTATAGTATTCTCTGATGGTGGTTTGTATTTCTGCGGGATTGGTGGTGATGTCCCCTTTATCATTTTTTATTGCGTCTATTTGAGTCTTCTCTCTTTTCTTCTTTATTAGTCTTGCTAGTGGTCTATCAATTTTGTTGATCTTTTCAAAAAACCAGCTTCTGGATTCATTGATTTTTTGAAGGGTTTTTTTGTGTCTCTATCTCCTTCTATTCTGCTCTTAGTTATTTCTTGCCTTCTGCTAGCTTTTGAATGTGTTTACTCTTGCTTCTCTAGTTCTTTTAACTGTGATGTTAGGGTGTCAATTTTAGATCTTTCCTGCTTTCTCTTGTGGGCATTTAGTGCTATACATTTCCCTCTACACACTGCTTTAAATATGACCCAGAGATTCTAGTATGTTGTGTCTTTGTTCTCATTGGTTTCAAAGAACATCTTTATTTCTGCCTTCATTTTGTTATGTACCCAGTAGTCATTCAGGAGCAGGTTGTTCAGTTTCCATGTAGTTGAGCAGTTTTGAGTGAGTTTCTTAATCCTGAGTTCTAGTTTGATTGCACTGTGGTCTGAGAGACAGTTTGTTATAATTTCTGTTCTTTTACATTTGCTGAGGAATGTTTTACTTCCAACTATGTGGTCAATTTTGGAATAAGTGCGATGTGGTGCTGAGAAGAAGTATATTCTGTTGATTTGGGTGGAGAGTTCTGTAGATGTCTATTAGGTCTGCTTGGCTCAGAGCTGAGTTCAATTCCTGGATATCCTTGTTAACTTTCTGTCTCATTAGTCTCTTAACACTCATACCGTCTCCCTTACCCCCCCGTACTCCAAGCATAGATACTATTATCCAACTTTTAAGTATGAAAAAACTGAAGGCTGCTTAGGGCTTAAAGGTTTAAATTAAGGCTATGATTTGGGTCCAGATCTGCCTCTCTCTAAAGCATGAGCTTTTCAACATTACAATAGGCTGTCTCACTTTTCACTGATATCAGAGTAACCTTTTTTAAACCATGGTGCTGAACATATTCCATTTCCCTGCATAAGTGGATTGCAACTAGTGTAGGTTTAAGTTCAAACTTCTTACCAGGACATCAAAGTTTTTAATTACCTCTCACCTGCATTTCTGGCCTGTTATATTTTCAATCACTTTCTCAATGACTTCTTATATTGCAGGTTAATCAGGAATATATAATCAGCCTGCCTAGAACATGACTCCATGTCTTGCCTATGTTAGACTCTCAGCCTGGAAACCCTTCTACTTAAAACTTGTCTTCTTGTCTCACACCCTGAGCTAGGAAAAGTTTTCTAACTTCTAGGTAGAGCTGGTTCCTCCCTCTTCCAGGCATCTTCACACCTTGTACTAGGCAATGAACTCTTCAACAAGAGGGCCCACTTGTTTTCTACTTTTTTATTCTGCAGAATCTATTGTAGAGCCTTGCTCATACTGGGACTAAAAATACATTTAAAAAATAAAATTAAGCACACTTATTTTCCATGGGAATTTTTGAGTCATTGGTTCCCCGAATAGCCCTACTCCCCTTTTCTATTTTGAAGAAGTATGTATAGTTTTCCAAAACGTTCTTGTTTGACCAATGTGATCAGTTCATTTAGTCAAAGCATTTGCACTGTTCCTAACTTTTCTACCTTAAGAAACATACTTTTGCTCAAGCAGAGCATTTAGTGCATGTCTCCTTTAATGGATTCCTGCTAAGAGCTAACAACTGGATTATTGAATCTTCTCCTTCAAAACCACTCTTTGACTTATTACAAGATTATTTTTCTCAGTTACATTTGATTCTTTATAGGTACCATTTTCTGCCCCTGGCCTTGTTTAAAATTGAATTGTGATGGCTCTTCCCCTGACTTATCTTTTAAAGCTATTGTCATTTACTTCATTTTTTTTTAGGCCTTTACTGGAAAATTTCTGGCTGTAACATTTTCTTATAATTTCTATTTCTATTCCAGGTTTCTGCTTAAGCCCAGTGTTGCATTAATAAGGGTCAGGCGAAGTTTCAACAGCATTTAATCTTACACTTTAAATTTTTGTTCACATTTTATGGTCTTGACACATTTACTGTAATAAAGGGAAATCATTAATTCACTAAGAAACGTGTAAAAACTATAGTTTTGCTTTTGATTAATTTCCACATTCATCATTACTTTGCTACTGATTTACCATGCATTGAAGAGACTGAGGGTGCAAAACATGATTTTTTTTTCTTTGTTTAAAAAGAACTGTCTTAGAAACCAAATGAGGCTAAAAATGTACCTGTGTTTTGGCTGTCAAAGGGGAGAAGATTACTTCTTCTTGAACGTGTTTTCTGTCTCATCCTCATGTTTCCTTTATTTATACCAAATACACCATACCATTCTCTACTTTTTTTTCTTGAAGTAAAAGAGAGCTATAGCCATAGCCACTGTCATATTAACTCTGAAAATAGGTTTTTTCCTTTATGAAGAGGAAAGAAATCTTAATTTACCTTTGGCTTATGGAAGAAAATCATCTAAAATTTTATAATGCCAGCTACATCTTGAACAATTTTGAATACTGTTGTTATGAAACAAAATCATAATTGAGCCTAGAGGTCAAATATCTCACCAATATTGGCAGCAGGCAATTGAATAACGATTTTTTGTTTTTGTTTTGCACTTGTATAATTGATACTAAAGTGGTAGTGACTATTAAAATTAATGAAAAGGAATCTATAGTTTTTACACTATAACTAGGCCAAGTTGGGAAGGTATCAAAATTATAGTTATAAAATGAGACTGAAAGTTTAAAACAGGTCACTACCTATGACGCACACAATTGCAAGCCCTTTTTCATAGATCAGTCAATGAAGTCTTCGCAACAACCCAAAGAGAGTTATTTTGGATTTTAGGGGAGGAGAAAACTGAGACTCATAAAGTTAAATAAACTCTCCTCCTTTGTTGTATTGTTTTGTTAAATATAGGTTTTTATTCTTATTTTTAACAACACAAATATTTGTAGAAAAATTTAGAGAATGCAGAATAAGCAAGAGAAAAATAAACACAATGTATTGCTATCCCCCCAGTTTTCTTAACTGTGTATTACACATTTTTGTGTAACCTGCTTTTTTGCTTTAAAATGTCATGACCTTTTCCAACCATAAGTATGTTATTTTTCATATGTCAGTTTTAATGGCTATAATATTCTCCTCAGTGTTTTTGAGGGTCTTTGAGAGCACTCAGTAAGTAGCACCTGTCTTTTCTACCCAATTCAATTGAAAAATAGACAGCAAGTGGAGAACCAGAATATCACCCTATTCCTAATTAAGGCACAATTGGCAGGCACAGCTTACAATGAGAGAAAAAATTGGCTTGCTCACTGCATCCTTTGGAAGTTTGTTGAGCTGTGAGAAGAACCCACTTCAGGGAAAGCTTAAAGCCAGGGAGCAGGAAATCCCTGCCCTGCACTGGCCCTGGCTAGAGGAAAGAAGAAAAGAAGCAACTTCTCCAAGCAGAGAAACTTTGATCATGTCTACCCAATACCTGTAACACACCAACCACTGTAAAGCTGGTGGTCCTCTGCTCTGGGGATGAGGAAGTGGTGGAAAAGGAAGCCAGGCAGACTGCGGAGGATGCCACAAAACAAAGGTGAGGAAGGAGGCATTCCCCTGTGATATATGAAGTTCCTATTACTCATTTAATCAATCCCCTATTGTTGTACACTTAGGTTGTTTCAAAACAACAATGAAATTAAATGCATTTGTAATTAATTATTGTGTACATTATAGAAATTTTCTTTAAATGAAACTATAAGTAAAATTCCTGGGACAATGATTTTAACATGTTTAAAGCTTTTGATGCATTTTACCACATTTTACTCAGGAAAGTTTTGTCAATTTACATTACCACTCAGTAATGTATAACCTCATTTATTTTTAATAAGTGTATTTGAACCCAGTAAAGTTGGCTCTGGAGCCCAAATTATTAATCTTAACAAAATCCTGCTAGTTACTAAATAAAAAAAACTGTAAAATTCATGAAATTTCTCTGACTCCATAAACTTTCAATGGATAATTTCTATATCTGTCCATACTGCCTGGGAGTGGAGAATTATAATGGTCATGAAGTGGCCTTTGGCCTTGGACTCCTCCTGGCTTTGAATTCTGAATGTGCCCTTAACTAGAGCTGTGGCAAGTTATCATAGATGTTCAAGCAACTCTGCTCCTCACAGTGCTAATAAAGACATGCGCAAGACTGGGTGATTCATAAAGAAAGAGGTTTAATTAACTAACTGTTTGGCATGACTGGGGAGGCCTCAGGAAACTTACAATCATGGCAGAAGGGGAAGGAAGCACATCCTTATTCACATGGCAGCGGCAAGGAGAAGTGCCGAGCAAAAGGGGAAAAAGCACCACTCACTATCAGGAGAACAAGACATGGGAAACCTCCCCCCAATTCAATTATCTCCCACTGGGTTCCTCCCATGACATGTGTGGATTATGGGAAGTACAATTCAACATGAGATTTGGGTGGGGACACTGCCAACTCATACCATCATCCACCACATCAAACCCACTAAGTGAGCTACATTTTTGCTGTGTGGGATGAAAATGTCCACACAGCACAGAGAAGAATATGTGCTTCATAGAGTAGTGATAGTCAGCTTAACAAAAGATGCTTCTGTGAGAGGCTGATGGTCAGCCCTGAGATCAGTAACCAGAAGCCGTGGCTTCCAGAAGGCTGCCTGGATCTGGTTAGTGAGGATTTCAGTAGTGAAGTGACCAGCAATAGGAGTAGCTCCAGTGGCAGAAGCGAACTTCAGCACAGCCCACTGGCCAGGATTCCTGGATGACCTGACATTGACATCAGCAGAGTTTTCAAGGGCAACAATGGCATAAGCTGTCAGCAGAAGCTTCTCCCAGGTCCTCTTCAGATTTAGGATGTAGATGTCATCAGTTTTCCTTTTATAGATGTACTGTTCCATTTGGAAGGGTTGGTGCCACCTAGCAGGTTCCAGCTACTAGGAACTAGAGGGCATCCTCCTCCTTCATTTGCAGGACATCAAGGACTCTCGACATTGTGAAAGTTTCCATTTAAGTTACCATGGGAACCCAGAGCAACACATGTGGACTCCTGTCTGGATAGTGCAGAAACCTAAACCTGCTTTATTATATCCACCCATATTTTCAAATTTCCAGCATTTTTATCTGACCTTTAAAGATAGTAAAGAAGTCAGAGTATTTTTAAGTATATAAAAGTAAATAATTACCTCATTAATCAGACAAGACTTTACTATAAAACCAAATACTTCTGAGTTAACAATATTGAATATTAACATGGTAAAAAGGCATCAGGATGAGTTCTTTTATGGAGAGGTCCTAAAAATATATAATATTGAAGTGTGTGTGTGACACAGGTAAGTTATATTGCACTCAGAAGTGCTGGGAATTCTTTGAGAGATTGGTTTATATTTGAGAACCTGAATGAGTCTAAGATAGCTCTCATCTTCTTCTAGAAAAGAACAAATGTGAAATAAGACCCCTATTATTTCTTTAGGTCTTACTGAGATTTCTTCTTTTGCAAGAGGATGTGAGTTTTCTGTAATAACACCATACTTCGCATTGGATCACTAGGTAATTATGGACTAATCTAGGGCTGAGGGAGAGATTTTTATGACACACTTTATAATAGACTTTCAGCGTTTTTCAGAAAGAAAATCCCACTAAGGATACAAAGTTTATATTTTTCTTTGACTGTAACACATCACAATAAAGATGATACTCTGCTGATATTTGAGATTCATGTTATCTGCAGGAAAACTTAAAGTGTTTTGTTCTATGTGACAGTGACACTATGTCTAAGAATGCTAAGACAGAGAAAAATGGAGATTTAGGTAATATTTATATAGATAAGAAAGAAAGTTTAGGCTCATAGTCCAGAAAGTAAACTGCTAATTCTTGCCTAGTATGTTTTTTTTTTAATTTTTTTAATTCCCTGAGTCTCCTCAGTTTTGCATGATTTTGACACTGTTTGCATGACAATTCTACATTATCTCTCCTTGTCTTTTGGTTTGAATTAAAAGTAATTTAGGATAATTTCAGTTTACCTAAAATTAATGAATCTAATTCTTTACCTGGTAAAAAAAATGTGTTCTTTGTCTTCCATAATCTGTCCTTCTGTAATTATTAATTTTACATGTTAAGGTCCAGATATTTGGTCAAACACTATTTTGAATTCTGCTGTGAAGGAATTTTTAAGATGATATTAACATGTAAATTAGTAGCCTTTGAGTGAAGCAGATTAACCTCCATAATCTAGGTGGGCCTCATTTCATTAGGTGAAGCCCTTAATGGTGGGGGGATGGAAAGACTGACCTCTCCTAACATCTTTCTCTCCTGAGGAAGAGGGAATCTGGCAGCAGACTGCCTTAGACTTGAGCTGCAACATTCATTCTTTCCTGGGTCTCCAGCTTGCTGGTCTATCCTGCAGATTTTGGACTTACTAGCCTCCACAATCACATAAGCCAATTTCTTAAAATAAATCTATTTCTCTCTCTCTCTGTCTCTTTCTCCATCCATTCATCCATTCATCCATCTGTCTACACATTTTTTATTGTTTATTTTTCTCTGGAAAATCTTGACAGATACACCATCTGTTTATCAATCATTCTTGAAACAGAAAATTCTACCTATGTATGCACCTTGACTGGAAAGAGTTTTTGCCAAGTCTGTACTGTACCTAGTTAAGGCATATTTAGAAACATGGCTGTGGGAAAACAAAAAACAGCAAGATTAAAACATAGAGATATATTATATATCCTAATTCTACAAGGATGTTTCTGGCTTTACTTATGTGTGTATTAAGGTTTTTCTTCTCTTCTTCCACACTATTTTCTTATAGTTGACATATGGTAATATAGTAAGAAAAAATACACATATATTTCTTCTTGCAATATATATTCATTGGGATGTTTAACAATGAGTGTCAACCTGATTGGATTGAAGGATGCAAAGTATTGATCCTGGGTGTGTCTGTAAGGGTGTTGCCAAAGAGATTAACATTTGAGTCAGTGGGCTGGGAAAGGCAGACCCACCCTCAATGTGGGTGGGCACAATCTAATCAGCTGCCAGTGTGACCAGAATATAAAGCAGGCAGAAAAACGTGAAAAGGCTAGACTGGCTTAGACTCCCATTCTACATCTGTCTCCCATGCTGAAAATCGGACTCCAAGTTCTTCAGCTTTGGGACTCGGACTGGTTTCCTTGCTCCTCAGCTTGTAGACAGCATACTGTGGGACCCTGTGATCATCTGAGTTAATACTACTTAATAAACTCCCTGAGAATATATATCCTATTCTTTCGCTCTGGAGAACCCTGACTAATACATTCATATATACATAGATTTTTAAATATATATATATATAATATATATATAATATTTATATATAAATATATATTATATATATAAATTATATATAAATATATAATATATATTATATATGGTAATATATGTGTATATTGCAATATATACATGTATACATATGTGTGTACGTTGTATATATGTATATTGCAATATGTATATTGCAATACATACATATATACATATGTGCGTACATTGCAATTTTTATATACATATGTATGTATAATGCAATTTATATATTGTATATATACATATGTACATATTATGCATGTATATATACATATACGTTATATGTGTATGTATTGTATACATACATATACATTATATGTGTATGTATTGTATACATACATATACGTTATATGTGTATGTATTGTATACATACATATGTTATATGTGTATGTATTGTATACATACATATATGTTACATGTGATGTATTGTATACATATGTTATATGTGATGTATTGTATACATATGTTATATGTGATGTATTGTATACATACATATATGTTATATGTGTATGTATTGTATACATAGATATATGTGTATGTATTGTATACATACATGTTATATGTGTGTGCATTGTATACATATATGTTATATGTGTGTGTATTGTATACATATGTTATGTATGTGTATTGTATACATACATATATGTGTGTGTATTGTATACATACATATATGTTATATGTGTGTGTATTGTATACATACACATACAGGCATGTATTGCAATCAGATGAAAGCACACACTGTTTCAGTCTCATAAAGGCAAATGCTAGCGAGAAATTAATTTCACTGTTAAATTTCCAATTATTTTCTAGATCCTGTAGCTCAGGAGCAGCAAAGGATTACAAAGAAACAAAATGCTATGTGGGGGAGAGAGTATGAGGATATAAGAGAGCTAGCCTCACAAAAGATGTTTTCTCCTGGCCCATGAGAATAGCAACTGAGAAATATCTTAGAAATATCTGAGAGCCTGGAGGTCATCCCTCACAGCACATGAGAAGAGGAAGGGGATGCAGGTTTGCTGTTTTAACATTTGTGGGGCAAATTAGATGTACAAGACTCATTCTTTTATTATGATGATGATTATTATTATTATTGTTCTTTAAGTTCTAGGGTACATGTGCACAACGTGCAGGTTTGTTACATACGTATACATGTGCCATGTTGGTGTGCTGCACCCATTAACTCGTCACTTACATTAGGTATACCTCCTAATGCTATCCCTCCCCCCTCACCCCACCCCATGACAGGCCCTGGTGTGTGATGTTCCCCTTCCTGTGTCCATGTGTTCTCATTGTTCAATTCCCACCTGTGAGTGAGAACATGCAGTGATTTTTTTTTGCCCTTGTGATAGTTTGCTGAGAATGATGGTTTCCAGCTTCATACATGTCCCTACAAAGGACATGAACTCATCCTTTTTTATGGCTGCAAGCGAGGACTGAGTCAGAGAGATGGGGATGGCAGAGGAGACAAAATGTGGTCAGGGCCGTGTAAGATGTGACCCTGCTGCCATATCTGAAAGAAAGGCTGTTGGTGTTTGTAAAGACTTTGGGCAAATTGTGCTTTGTAGACAAAACTGTAGAAGGGTCTGGGTTTAAGCTTAGTGTCAGCGTGATGAGGACTAGAGGTCGCAGTGACCTTTGTTAAGAAATCCACCCTGCACTTCTGGCTTTGTCTCTTTCCTGGTTTTATAGGTGGTGGGTTCCTCTATGGAATGAACGTGGCTCTGTGGAAGGAACATAGTTAAGGTCAGACAGACCTAGATTCCAAGTTCAGCTTCAACAACTGCTGACCAAGTGACTTTTATGCAAATCAGCCATGTGCTGTCATGAACAGTTTCCTCATGTGTGAAATGGGTCACTGAGGATGTGAAGGGGTGTCCTGAGGGTTCCGCCAACTGATGCACCATGAAGCGTACATACATGTATAGACAGACACACACACATACATGAGAAGAGTATCTAGTGCCCCTTTTATGCATTCTTGAGTAACTCAGAATGTTATGTGAGATATTGACAGTCATATGTCATTTTCAACTAAAATTATCAATATTTATCTTATAACTAACAGATGCTTCTCTGTACACTGTAGGTTTCATGTACATTTCTTCAATCACAAAATTTTTCACCAATCTATTTACGTCTAGTATCAGAAAGTTAAGCAAGGAGATTGCAAACCAACACAACACCTTTAGTCTGGATTTTCCCGGAGCCCCATTTGTGTTAGTGTCCTCGGGCTACTGTAACAAGTTCTCAAAAATGTGGTAGCTTCAAACAACAGGAATGGAATCTCTCATAGTTCAGAAGTCCAGATCAGTTTCACTGGGCTAAGATCTTGGAGTCATCAGTTCTGGCTCCTTCTGAAGCTGTAGGGGGCAGTCTGATTTAGCTCTTCCAGCTTCTGGTGGCTTCTCTCTCCCGGGATGTGGACACGTGACTGCAATCTC
Source organism: Homo sapiens (assembly GCF_000001405.40). Lineage (NCBI taxonomy): Eukaryota > Metazoa > Chordata > Mammalia > Primates > Hominidae > Homo > Homo sapiens. The sequence continues at coordinate 8,598,668 of NC_000021.9, read as the reverse complement.
TGTCTCTGTGTTCACATTGCCTTCTCCACTTCAGTCTATGCTAAATGTCTCTCTACCTCTTGGTTTTTTTAGGACACTTGAGTTTGCATTTAAGTCCCAGTTGATTAATCTAAGAATATCTCCCTGTTTCAAGCTCCTTAATTTACACCTGCAAAAGCTGTTTTCCCAAATGAGATACATGTATAGTCTTCCTGGAATGAAACCTCACTATTTGGGGATGATACTCAGTACTACACCATTACATAACCAGGTCTCAGTGTTAGTCCTGTACATACATCACAATCTCTCTCTCTCTCTCTCTCTCTCTCCATACACCCTGGCTTCCTCCTTTTCTCAATGTCATAAATCTCTTCAATTCCTTAAGTGTATCCAGTGATACCTATAAACAAATAAGTATCTGAGAAAAGTCTCAATCAGTTTAGAAATTTATTTGGTCAAAGTTAAAGAAATATCAGTGAAACAGCCTCAGGAGGTCTTGAGAACGTGTGTCAAAGGTCGTCGGGCTACAGGTTGGTTTTACACGTTTTCGGGAGACATAAGATATTAATCAATACGTGTAAGCTGTACATTGCTTTGATATGGAAAGACAGGACAGCCCGAAGGAGGGGGGATGTTGGGGACTTCCAGGTCATAGGTGGATTCAGAGATTTCATAGGTGGTTGAAAGCGTTTATCTAATGACCTGTAATCAACACAAGGGAGTTTCTGGGTTTAGAAAAAGGGTTTTGGAGCCAAGGTTGCATCATGCAGATGAAGCCTCCAGGTAGCAGGCTTCAGAGAGAATAGATTGTAATTGTTTCTTATTAGACTTAAAAGGTGCCAAACTCTTAGTTAAATCTCTCTGTGTCAGGAAAGAGATTTAAAAAGGAATCTCTACAGAATGTAGATTTTTCCCACAAGAACCAGCTTTGCAGAGGCATTTTTAAATACATTAAATAACAATAGCTTGGGGAAAATACTTTGATTTCTCTTAGGACGTGGTATCTGTCACATTGGTATCTTATTGCTATAAAGAGTTTTCTTTGTCAGTCTCAAGGTTTCTGTCTTCATATTAAAAGCTGGTCAGTTGTGCCTGAATTTTAAAGGGAAGAGGGTAAGTTAAGGCATATCCAATCATCCGTTCCGATCATGGACTGCATTGTATTTCAGGTTGATTTTGGTGTGTCCTTGGTTGAGAGGAGGAGTTCATTCAGTTGGTTAGGGAGCTTAGAGTTTCATTTTTGGTTTACACACCTATGTCCAGGTAAGAGGGCCCCACACAGGAGGGCTTGCTCAGAACCTGGCTTGCAGGGCTGCTTACAGACCTTCTATGTCTCCTGTTGTCATGCACAAGGAAGGACACAGCCAATGACAACCCTCAGCCATCCAGGGAGAAGCTGTGTCTGCAGAGGACGGTCATGAGCTGTGAGTCTAGAGACCTGTGATTGTCTTCAGGGGCCTGTGGTCCTCGGCTTTCATAGGAGTTGTGGGGGCACTGGCTCAAATAGCATCCACCAGGATTCTAATCAGAATATCTCATTCACAGAAGGCAGTGGGTGATATGACAGTACAGAGGGACTCTGTGGGGCCAGCTGCATGGAGCACTCTGGGAGAGTCACTGGCACCCGTGCTAGACAGATCTTCATTCAACTTCTGGAGCACACGGATTTAGATCTCTCTACATCATTTTGAAAGACCATTTATCATTCTGAAGGAAACCACTGTAATTAACTAAGGTAACATCTTTAATAGGTAGAAAGAAAAAACTGATTATTTTATTGCCAAGATGATTACAAGAAAAGAAACAAACAAAAATAGCATGAAGGAAAGAGCAACACTAGACTGAGGGCTTTGGGTAAGAGGTTGAGACTTAGTAGTGAATGCCCTGGGCCATCTTCTGTCAAAAGGGAGGGACAATCAGCAAAGGGAAATATGCAGTAGAGGCAAAATCTTGGTTAGTAAAAGAATCCTAAGAGAAAACAAGAAGTCTCCTTCCTGAGCATCATGTTGGTGTCGGGAAGATGCACATAATCCCCTCATTGCATGTCTTACACTTTTCAGCAATTAGGGCTCAGCATGAATTTAGAAGACACCATTCACTTCACAGCACATGGGGACACAGTCAAGGCAGCGGTGAGAGGCAAGGCTGGGCTTTCAGTCTCAGCGCACAGAGCAGGTTCCCCACTACTCCGCACCCTGGTGTCTCCTCCCAGATGTTCCACCTCATTCTTGCCTTAAGGGCTCCAAGTTGTTAATGGGACAGTAGTCCTCTTCCTTTCCCAGGGTTTCTAAGAATTTGGCTCTTTTTTGTGTATTGTGGGGTTTGTTTGCCATCTAGAGGCAGGCTTTTGGCATAGCAACTTACAGGCTTTTTCTACTTGTGATAGTGAAAATAAATACATAAATAAATTCATCATAAATAATAAATTGACTTAATGCATTGAATCTGTAAAAAAAAAATAAGGTCAGTTTGAGAGCTTAAAAGGAGCCTGATGAGGTTGAAAAGACAAATTACCTTTAGTAAAGAGCAGTTGGAGCAATAGATGATTCTTTAATCAAGGACATTTTAAGAGTAATCATCAAATGGTAAATAAAACTTGAAATAAGATGATAAAATATAATCTTATATGCAAAAAAAATTTCCAAGAAGCAGAGAAATACATTTTCAGATTAAAACAAACAAAAAATGTGGGTTTATCATCAGATCCGCTAAATGGAAGATTTCTCAAATGTGTGCTTGGAGCAAAAATAACACTTAGCCCTATTTGAAAGTTCAAGATTTTTGAGCTTTAGAAGAAAACAGTTTTCCCTTCACTCCGTTCCACTCAACGCTTCTGAGGATGGCCATGGGGCAAAAAGCCGTGGCGGCAGGGGGGCAATAAGCCGCGACGGGCAAAATGCGGCGTCGGCGGGGGGGGCAAAAAGCCGGGGCGGGCAAAAAGCCACGGCGTCAAAAAGCCGCGGCAGCGGGGGGGGGGGGGGAAAAGCCGCGGCGGGCAAAAAGTCGCGGCGGCGGGGGGGCAAAAAGCCGTGGCAGGGAGGGGCAAAAAGCCGTGGTGGGCAAAAAGCCACGGCGCGGGGACGAAAAAGCCGCGGCGGGCAAAAATCCGCGGAGGCAAAAAGCCTCGGCGCGGAAAAGACCGCGGCGGCGGGGGTGCAAAAAGTCGCGCCTGGCAAAAAGCCGCGGCGGCGGGGGGAAAAAGCCGCGGCGGGCATAAACCCGAGGAGGCGGGGCGGCAAAAAACCGCGGTGGGGAAAAAGCCGAGGCGGCGGGGGGGCAAGAAGCAGAGGCGCGCGAAAAGACGCGGTGGGGGGGGGGCAAAAAGCCGCGGTGGTGGGTGGGCAAAAGCCGAGGCACGCAAAAAGCCGCGGTGGTGGGTGGGCAAAAAGCCGCGGCGGCGGGGGGGCAAAAAGCCGCGGCGGCGGGGGGGCAAAAAGCCGCGGCGGGCAAAAAGCCGGGCGGGCAAAAAGCCGCGGCGTCAAAAAGCCGGGCGGGCAAAAAGCCGCGGCGTCAAAAAGCCGCGGCGGCGTGGGGGCAAAAATCCGCGGTGGGCAAAATGCCGCGGCGGCGGGGGAGCAAAGCCAGGGCGTCAAAAAGCCACGGCGGCGGGGGGCAAAAAGCCGCGGTGGTGGGGGGGCAAAAATCCGCGGCGACAAAAAGCTGCGGCGGCGGGGGTGAAAAAGCCGCGGCGGGCAAAAAGCCGTGGCGGCGGGGATGAAAAAGCCTCGGCGGCGGCGGGGCAAAAAGCCGGGTCGGGCAAAAAGCCGCGGCGGCAGAGGGCAAAAAGCCGCGGCGGGCAAAATAACCGCGACACCGGAGCGGGGGGGGCAAAAAGCCGCGGCGGGCAAAAAGCCGCGTCGGCGAGGGTGAAAAAGCCTCGGCGGCGGGGGGGCAAAAAGCCGGGTCAGGCAAAAAGCCACGGCGGCAGGGAACAAAAAGCCGCGGCGGCGGGGTGTAAAAAGCCATGGCGGGGCAAAAAGCCGCGGCGGGCAAAAAGTCGCGGCGGCGGCGGGGGGGCAAAAATCCGCGGCGACGCGGGGCAAAATAGTGGATCTGGTGTAGAAGGCCGGCACAGCTTGGCTTTGCTGGAGTGTGATGAGATAGGAAATGTGCAGCCAAAGACAAAAAAAGATGTAAGTAGGCTTGACTCATTGCAGCTAAGAACCCAGATGTTATCTTGAGGGTTTTAACTAATAAGCAGTTTAAATCAGAATGGCACATTCTGGTTTTTTTTTATATGTTCACATTTGGCAGGCATAGATACTGTTTGAAAAGAGAAAAGTCAGTAGATAGAGGTAACAAACTTAAATATGTGCCGAGTCTAGAAACAAGAGACTAGGGAGATAAGGACCTTTGGAAATAAAATGCAAGATTTGAAAACTGGCTGGGGGATGAGGAAAAGGCAGGTCTTTAAGGTCAATCCCTGTTTTGCTTTAAGTTGTTAGGGGGTGGTTTTATCACATATTGTAGAATACATCATTTCAGTTTTGAGCATCTTGAGTTAAATTGTCCTAACATATCTCATGAATTTGATTTTCTTCCCTGGGAAGCTAATATTTCAAAAACTTAAAGAGTATATAGATTTCCAACTGGTATCCAATTTATAAAACTATCTCTAGGCTGCTGATTTCAGGAGGAGGCTCATGAATATTCTATTTGCAGAGAATATATCAGGAGTTAACATCAGCGTCAATATTTGTGGACGACCAGTTAACTAAACCACCTCTTAGTGTATTTAGATGGGAAATCTTAGCTGAAGATATTCAATAATGAACCAACAGTCACTAAAAAATTCAATATTGAAGTATATTTCATTGTAATTAATTTGAATTGAAGTAGCCATATACAGCTAGTATTTACTACATTGAACAATGCAAATAAGAGGAAAAAAGAACCATCTCTAATACCACATGCCAAAATCCTCATCAATTTATTCTAGCTAAAGGAGTTGATCAGAAGCAGCAGTTGAAAGCACCAACTAAACCAGCTGGGGTTAGTTCACTGTCATTCTCTCAGAACCATCTCTTCTCTGAACAAAACAAGTACAAGAGTTCATTGTGAATCTGTATTCTCCTTGCCTATTTTAAGGTTTTGATGTTGACACTAATTTGTGAAATCCCTCCTGTGGTGTGATATTTCGTTTTCCTTGCTTTCTGTTAGGACAAGAATGCTTCAGCTCTTAATTTAAAATTGTTTCTCCCTCCTAGGCTGAGTGAACTTAGAATGCATTCTCTGACATATCCAAGTTTTTCTTAATGTGAATTTGGGGAAAAAAGCATAGTTAATTAGCTGAGACTTCTTATTCTAGGCTTGACCCTGTGTTCGACATCTATTGAATTTGTAGTTGCATGGGCTGCTCTCTGACACTGGTTAGTGACCTGGAAGCTATATTAACGTTAGGGGAGGTGGTGTATGAACATTAGAGGTATCCTTGCAAGGAAAGACTTGTCTTATCTCAATACGTCTTTTTTTTTTGCACACAAGAAAGTCAATGTTTGAGTCTTCTAAAATCTTCCTATTTCCAAGTTGCAGAGTACCATTGATTCCTAAACAAAGACCTAATTTTTGAGTCAGAGACGTGGCAAGGTAGTGAATCACCACTATAATTTAACAATCTTCAAGATAAAATTATCTGTCTGATATTTCGATTTTGCCCAATTATTAAGATATTTGGGTGTTTCGTTAAGAATGGAAGATTCTAGTCTCTTGAGCAGAGACTATAAAGGCCTCAGATGATCATTTTTAATTTTATGCTCTTTTCTTTAACACCTTCAACACAGTTGGAAGCAGCTGATATTCCCCAGAGTTGTTGTGTTTTTTAAACCAAATGCATGGTTCAGTGGTAGAAAACTTGGCTGATCCAAGCTGTTTTCAGTAAACACTTCATTTCAGGTGACCTATTTCATATTAAATAATCTCTAGATCCTGTCTTCCAAACTAACTAGATCAGATAACCTACCCTGGATTTTCTCCTTTTAGGGTCTGTGAGCTGCAGTCACTTTTGTGAAAATGATTGCAATGACAAGATAGAGTTGTAGATGGGGAAAATGTTTTGACTAATTTAAGCATAGTGGTATTTCATATGAGAATTTAAGTTACACACATTTGAAAATTATAATGGAGTCTCTTGGCTGAGCTTTAAAAAAAATAGCGTTTAGGCTAAACAGGGAACTGCTACCTCTCCTAAAATCAGAAAGATGTTACAGTAATTCTCCATTCTCTAGAATTATCAGGAAGCACCTTTGTGATGATTTACTTTTGCTCTTGGGAGTGTGAGCCCGTGTAGTCTTGGAACCATCAATTAGAATGATGGCTTTCTGATCCCAAAGTCATTCGTTCTGAAAACAATATTTTTCATAAATTTGAAAGTGAGAAGTTTTGATCTTGCCATTCCCAAGTAACTCACTTAATAAGAGTCATCAGCATGCTTCAGTGACAGCTGTCACCTTCCAGTGCTGAGAGTCATCTTTGAGTTCTCCATTTCACTCCCTACACTTCAATTTAGCTGCAGTTCTCTTGGCCAGTCCTCTGAAATACATCCATGGCCTAACAACTTCTAACCACTAATACCACTCATCCTGACAGCATTCTCACCTAAGTCACTACCTTTTTTCTCTGGATTACAATAGCCTCCCAATTTATTTGCTCACATAACCTATTTATTCTACACGGTGCACCAGATACACCTCATTGAAATGCAAACACAATCATGTTATTCTCTGGTGAAAGTATCTCATATATTCCTATCGCATTTAAAATTAATTCAGAATAATCCCATGATTATCAAAACCCTACATGCTCTTCCACAACATGGTTTACTTCCAAGATATCTCTTCAACTCTTTTTTCACTGTACTGAATTGGTGACTAATAGTCATATTTTTGTTTTTGCTCAAAAAGTCTTGACTTCTAAATTTTTCAGTTTCTCCTTTATCCACAGGTAACTCTTTCCTCATAAGGCAAATTGCTTGCTTCCTTGAGATCTGCTCTCAAAGATACCCTTCATTTTCTACCTAATATTAATAACTTTAATCATTCATTATTCCATTACTATGCTCTATAGTGTATACAATTTCTGTTCTTTGTCATGTTATTAACTAAATTATTTATTTGTTCAAGTAACGTATTCCATAAATATTATACACATAAAAATTGTTATTTTTATTGCTGTATGCTCAGCTGCCCAATAACAGTCTGAGGATTAACATATTTGTTAAATGCACAAATACGTTCTTTCATAAATATTAGTTTAATAATTTTATATTAAACTCCCTCTATATTTACAATATGAATTAGATAATTCAGAATAAACATTCCAGTGGAAAAAACTAAACAATTTGTTATAAAACATCCTTAAAAGCATCAGAAAGTTAATACAGCAATGAAGAATTACAGGACCAAATTAAGAATGGTATGGAAGCCTGTTTGTGAGGCTTATGTTTGGGTAATCTCTTTACTTAGAGTGACTGTAAATCTCAAAAGAGGATTAAACGGAGAAATAACCATATCAACTCACATGGTAAGGGTATTTAAACATCTCTTAGTAATGGAGAAAATTGAACGAAAAGAAAAAAGAGAAAGGGAGAAAGATAAACAGAGCGAAAGGGATAATGAAGGAGAGAAAGAAGAAGAGAAAGGAAGAGGAAGAAAAGTAAAGAGGAGGAGGGAGAGGGAGGAAGAAAGGTGGAAAGAAAGAATGCTAAAGTTTTCAACAACATAATTTATCCTTCTAGAGTATGAATGTTGGTCTATTTGATGATGTCCCACAGATTCCTTAGTCTCTGCTCATTTTTTATCTGTTTCTCAGAGTCAATATTTTCCATTTTCTCATCTTCAATCTCATGACTTCTTCTGTGTGTGCAAATATACTCTGAAATCCCTCTGGTGATTTTGAAATTTTTATCGTTGTAGTTTTCCACTCCAGAATTTCTGCTATCTCTGTTGATATTCCTACATTTTAATATTTTTTCTGAATCCTTTATTTCTTTGTTTATGTTTTCCTTGTGACATTTGAGTATAATTAAGAGAGTTGTTTTAAAGTCTTTGTCTAGTAATTTTGAAGTCTGGGTTTCCTTAGAGATATTCTCTGTCAGTTTGTTTTGTTCCTTTGAATGAGCCACACTTTCCCATTCTTTGTATGCCTTGGAACTTTTTTTGAAAACTGGGCATTATAATAATTATAATTACTGTGTGGTTACTCTGTAAATCAGAACCCCCCCCCCCCCAAACACAGTAATGTTTTGGGGTTTTAAATTTTCTTTACTTATTATATTGTTAAGGATTTTTTTTTTTACTGAAATTTCCAAAGTGATTTACAAAACTGTTTGCTTTATAAGGTGTGGTCACCGAAGTCTTTTTGTTTCCTTGACAAATGTTAAGCTAATGTTTTGACAGTGATTTTCTTGTATGTCAGGAACTAAGCAAACCGGCAAATACAACAAACACAAAAAGAAAAACAAGTAATCATTATCCAGCAAAATATGTCTCTAGGCCATGCAGACTGGCTTCGTGCTGGGTTCTTTAAAGCCGAAACAAAGTGTGTGTTCACTCTTGCACTGAGTGAAGTTCAAGTTCACTCTTGCACAGAGCTTGCACTGAGGAGAGGGATCGGCCAAGGTAAAAGTGTAGGGTCTTCTTATGACATTTGTCAGCATGTGACTTAACCTATGCATACATGTGACTTTCTAGACTCTCTCGTGTACGTGAATGATTTTGAATGTCTTAGTTTTCCAAATACTCTTCTCCAACTTTTCTTCCTGTGCTGAAGGTGATCTACTATATGTGTAAGCTCTAATTTTTGCCCTAAACATCTGTGGTTTGTTAGGTCTCCTTGCAGAGTTTCTTGATAATGTCCATTCCTTATCTGTTCTGTATTCTAGCAACACAGAAAAAACAAAAGCCTTTCATGAGTCCTTTAGGTATCCCCCAGACCAGTCAGAACAGACACATAGTAATTTGCGGGTAAGATCTTCTCTTGTTCCTTTGGATCATGGACCAGGGTTCCTCACTGGGAACGTGGGCTTCTGACACTTCAAAACTGCCAATTTGCTGCTGCAAAGGCAAGTTAAAAATGTCATAAAGTTTTCAAGTTGTCTTTTTCTTGAGTCTGCTTTCACTTGGTTGTTGTAATCTTTTGACCATTTTCCAGAGTTTTGGCAAAGTTTATTCGGACAGTTTCTCTTAGTTGTGTGATGTTTCTGTGGGGAAATGAAAGATTGCAGCTGTCTCCACTGCCGTTTTGCTGATGCTCCTCTTTTGTCAATTTTTTCTTCATGTTATTATGCTTTGTTATTAGTTCATGTATTAGTTTTCTAGGGCTCCCATAACCAACTAACACAAACTGGGTGCCTTGAACAACATACGTTTATAGTCTTATAGTCCTGGAAGCTAAAAGTCTGAGATTGAGGTGTCAGCAGGGATGGTCCCTTCAAGGGCTATGAGAGAAAGTCTGTTCTGTGCCTTGTTTCTTGCTTCTGGTGGTTTAGTGGCAGTCTTTAGCATTCCTTGGCTAATCTCTGCCCTCATAATCACATGGTACTCTCCCTGTGTGTATGTCTCCCTCTACTCATTTTTTTTTTTATAAGGACATCAGTCATATTGAATTCAGGCTCATCTGATTTTATCTTAACTTAATCACCTGCAAAGAACCTATTTTCTAATGAGGTCATTTTCAGTGGTTAGGATTTCAGCATCTATATAGAGGAAACAATTTAGCTGATATCTGTGCATACATGACTGTAATAGCTATGTCTTCCAAAAGCCTTGACCTCCTTATTACTACAATATAAATATTTAAAATCCTATTCACATTTTTAATAGTCTATCTCGTGTGTTATGAGTATAATGAGTTCAGTGTTCTTATTATTGCTCTTTGCATGATATTTTTTGTCATCTTTTTACTTTCAATCCATTAGTATCCTTGCATCTCTGGGTATATTGGGATCACTGGTTTTAATCCAGTCTGACAATCTCTGCCTCTTGAAGGGATTTTAATCTGCTCACATTTAATATTATAATTGGTATAATTCTATTTATGTCTGCCATTTTACCGTTTGTTGTGTATATTTCTCAAATGTTTTTCTTTCTTTATTTTGCAATGAATGAATATTTTCTAAAATAGGGAACTCTAGATTACTAATGAATTATTTTACTATATATTTTTGAGAATTTTTGTGGTTGTTGTAAGTTTACCATATAGGTATATGGAAAATTAGTTATTCAAATCATCTTCCAATTTATACCAGTAAACTTTTAGTAATACATAGAAACATCATTCTTATACAAATCTCTTTTATTTCCTCCATTTTAAAGTATTATCACTTTACACGTTACATCTATTAAAGTTACAAAGCCAACAATATATTTTAGTAATTATTGCTTTACCATCTAGAGTGATTACCTTATCACAATACATTTTTCTTCCAACTACCTCCTTTTTGATGTTACTGGAAAATATGTTATAGACGTATTACATTTCCATATGTCAAATACTCAGCAATACATTATGCACATATTATTATTATTATCATTGAGATGGAGCCTCCCTCTGCCACCCAGGCTGGAGTGCAGTGGCACAATCTCCGCTCACTGCAAGCTCCATCTCCCGGCTTCATGCCATTCTTCAGCTTCAGCCTCCCGAGTAGCTGGGACTACAAGCGCCCGCCATCACGCCCAGCTAATTTTTTGTATTTTTAGTACAGACAGGGTTTCACTGTGTTAGCCAGGATGGTCTCGATCTCCTGGCCTCGTAATATGCCCGCCTCGGCCTCCCGAAATGCTGAGATTACAGGCATGAGCCATCGTGCCTGGCCGTTATATGCATATTATTTTATAAACAATTTATGATAAAGAGAAAACATGCATTTCTACTGTTTTTATAATGTTAATATTACCTATACCAGTGCTTTTTTAAAAATGTGGATTCAAATGACTGGCTTGTGTAACTTGCTTTTAGCCTTAGGAATTTATTTTAGAGTTTTTTTTTATATGGTAGGTCTGCCAGCAACAACTTCAGTTAATATTTCTGTTTATCTGGGTAAGTCTTTGTGTTATCTTCATTTTTGAAAAATAATTGCTGGATAAGGAATTCGTGGCTGACAGTTTTTTTTCCTTTGCATCGTTTGAATATATTTTTCTACTGCCTCTTGTCTTCCATTGTTTCTCTTAAGTCAGCTGTTAATCTTACAAAACATAGGTGCTCAAAAAATAAACATGTGCATGCATATTTACAACATTAATATTCATACAGTCAAAAAGTGGAAACAATCCATATGCTTGTTGAGTCATAAATGGACACCCAATTTTCAGCTATAAAAAAGAATGAAGTACTTATATATGGTATAATATGGGTGAAATTTGAAAGCATTATGATAAGTGCACAAAAGGACAAATATTACTTGATTTTATTCACATGAAACATCAGGAATTGGCAAATCAATTGGGATATAAATCAGGTTAGTGGTCATTAGGGCTCAGGGAAGCAGAATAAGGTGTAACAACTTTATACCTAATGGGTTTTTGGAAGGGACATGATGAAATTGCCCTGGAACATTGTGAATATACTAAAAACAAGTGCATTGTATGCTTTAAAATGGTTAAGTTATTAATTTTATATTTTGTGATTTTTACCTTGAAAAACAAAAAAGAGAAAATAGCCTTACTCTCTACATAATAAACTTAGGATATCTTACAAATTTATATATGAAATCCAAAATACTATAATATTTATGGAATAGCTAAGTAGAATAACACTGAAATTTAACATAATGAAATATTTCCTTAAAAAAGAAAAAAGCACAGTAATTAAAAAGGGAAATATATTTAATATTTTTTCTCTCCATTAAGCATGCCATTAACTGAGTAAAAAATCAAACTGCAATTATGTAAACTACATTTTCTAAAACCACAAAGAAAATAAGAAATGAAAAGGGATTTGGGAAAAAAATCCAAAGGTACAGTCAACTACACAAAAAAAGCTTAGTCTCATTAATCATTATGAAAATGCAAATGGTAACTGAAAGAAGATAAAACTACAATTCAAAGAGAAAGCCTAAAATTTCAACCCTCAAAAAACTCTGGGTTTTGGTGATCTGGGATGGAATAGGGTTCCTAACCTGACAACAATGTAAGAACGAAACTAACTTCAAAGTCATGACTTTATTTTTATAGCAACCAGGTTGCCAAGAACTGAGTCAAAATATGAGGGAAAGCAAGCAACTTCAAGGAGAAAGAGGACAGATGCACTTACATAGGACAGATGCAAATACCACTATGACAAGTAAAGCTGGAATAATCAATAAATTCCTAAAGACAAAGTGGGGCTTGTGAGATTGGGAGACAGCTGACAGCTGCAGAAGTTTGGAAAGATCCATCATCTTGAAAACTTTTTCCCCACAAACCCACTGCGATCTCTCAAGCAATTGGTAAGGAATCCAAGAAAGTCTGTATATGACACAGATCAGGGAGAGCAGAACACTTGGGAGATGACCAGGTCTTGGGGGCCGAGCCCTTATGAATGGGATTAGTGCCTTTATAAAATAAGCTCAATGGAGTTCTTGTGTGTCTTCCACTATGTGAGGACATAGAAAGAAGGCACCATCTATGAACCATGAAATGGGCTCTCATCAACACTGAATTTGTGAGCATCTTGACATGAGATCTTACAGCCTCAAGAAGTGTGAAAAAAGAAATATCTGTTGTTTTTTAGTCACCCGGTTTATGTTATTTTGTTATAAGAGTCCAAATAGACCAAGATATTCCACTTAATATGTAGGGGAAGGCAACAAAAACTGCCACACTTAGAATACTCCCGATGCTGGGAGTATGAAAACAGGAAAAACAAAACAAAACTGCTCTTGAAGTGAAGGAGGAATATCACTGAGTTCACCAACACAGCCAGGAAAAGAACAGAAGTGTGAGAAGGCTACATTCCTGAGACCTTGAGAAAAAGTACCTGCATAAGACTGAGATGAAATTACCTACTCTAGTTATGATTGAAATCCCAAAAAGAAAAGAGGAAAAAATAATAGAGCCAAAGAAATATTTTTCAAAACAACTGCCAAAAATATTCTAAAAGAAGTGACAGAAAATCAAACTTCAGATATAGGAAACTCAGAGAATTTCAAATAGAACAAAAATAAATAAGAATTACATCTTGAAAACTCTTTAAAAATCAAGTCTAAATTTTATACCGTGCTCCAAATATATAGAGATATAAATAGGTTATCATCAAGGTATGGAGAATGCCATATCATGGAAACACTAAAATAAAGCTGTGGATGGACTACGTTGATATTAGACACAACAGAGTTCAGAACAAGAAATAGTATCAGAGATGAGAGATAATAGATAATATAATCATCAATTCTCAAGAAGATGTAAACATCCTACTAATTAGGGTATGCAGCTAACAACAGAACCTCCAAATACATGAGGAAAAACATGAAAGAAATCAAAGGTGAACTAGAAAAATCCAAAATTATATTTGCAGACTTCAACACTTTTGTCTTAGTAATGGAAAGACTAGGCACAAACTCAATAAACATGTGGAAGATAAGAACAACAATATCACCAACAAGACATCCAATCTGCAATGGCAGATACTCTTTCCTTTCAAGTGAAAAAAAAAACAGTTTGGCATATTCTCTAACAAACCCAGAATTTCTAATATTTGCGGTCTTCCTTCCTTCTTTCCATCTTCCTTTCTCTTCTCTTCCCTTCCCTTGCCTTCTTCCTTCCTTTCTTCTTTTCCTCTTCCTTTTCTTTTCTTTTTTCTTTTCCTTTCTTTCTTTTCTTTCTTTTTTTTCCTTCCTTCCTTCTTTCCTTCTTTCTTTCTTTCCCTTATTCTTCCTTCCCTCGTCCCTCCCTTCCTTTCTCCCTCCCTTTTCTTCCTTCTTTTCTAGTATTATTTCTTTCTTTCTCACGTTCTTGCTTTCTTTCCTTTTTTCTCCCTTCCTCCCGCCCTCCTTTTCTTCCTTCCTCCCTCCCTTCCTTTCCTCTTTTTCCTTCCTTCCCCTCTTTATTTTCTTTGTTTCTTTGCCTTCCTCCCTTTTACGATTCTCTCTTCCTCCTTTCCTTCCTCCCTTCCTCCTTTCTTTCTTTCTCTTTCCCTTTCTTTCTCTTTCTTTCATTCTTTCTTGTGTTCATGCTTTGTTTTTTCTCCCTTCCTGCCTTTCTCCCTTCCTCCCTCCCTCCCTCCTTTCCTTCCTTCTCTCATTTCCTCCTTCTTTTCTTTCGTCTTTATTTCCTTCCTTCCTTCCTTATTTCCTTCCTTCTTTTTCTTTGTTTTCTTTTCTTTCTTTCTCTTTACTACAATTCATATTATTCTAAAAAAATTAAAAGAGGGAGGCAGAAAAATAAAGAACGTTTTAATCTGCAGGTAAATAGATTATGTCTGCTGTAGGCAAAAGAATGGCCTCCCAAAAATTTTCATGTCCTAATTCCCAGAGTCTAACATACAAATATGTTTGGTTGCACGGCAGTTTGAAATTAGATTTCAAGTGAAATTAAGGTTGTGGAAAAATGATAGATTATCTTAAATGGGTGGGATCAATGAAATCACAAACTTCCTTATAAGTGAAAGAAGAAGGCAGAAGAAAGGCAACCTTGGAGGTGGTGGCATGAGAAATTACTCAACATCACTGACTTTTATGATACCAGAATGAGGACCCAGCGCGGTGGCTCACGCCTAATCCCAGCAGTTTGGGAGGCTGGGGTGGGCGGATCACGAGGTCAGGAGATCGAGACCATTCTGGCTAACATGGTGAAACCCCTACCCTACTAAAAATACAAAAACAAAATAACTGGGAATGGTGGCAAGTGCCTGTAGTCCAAGCTACTCAGGAAGCTGAGGCAGAAGAATCACTTGAACCCGGGAGGCAGAGGTTGCAGTGAGCTGAGATCGTGCCACTGCGCTCCAGCCTGGATGACAGAAGGAGACTCCATCTCAAAAAAAAAAAAAAAAAAAAGAAAAATAGGATATAAGAATGAGGTCATGTTCCAAGGAATAAGTGGCCTCTGGATGCTGAAAAAAATCAAGTACATAGATTCTGCCACATAGCCCTCAGAAAGACTGCAGCCCTGCCCAAAACTTGACGTTAGTTAGCCCTGTGAGTTTCATTTAAGGCTTCTGAACTACAGAACCGTAGGATTAACGGTCACTTTATTGTAAGATATGAAGTTTGTAGTAATTGGTTACAGCAGCAAGAGGAAGTTTATATTGTAATTGTATCATGAAAATAAGAACCATAATTTACAACTGCTTTTAATACTGCATTTGGATGTTTGAAATCACGTACATGGAAATGATCTCTATGTGCATGAGGGAGGATAGCAAATTGATGCCAAAAGAATGCAAATGCAAATCTTACACTCATTTCGATGTAGGTTTCATTTAATCTTTGAAATTAAAATGAAATTCAAAGATTGTGATATTTTGATGAAATTAGACTAAAATGAACAATAACAAGATAAGAACTTACTTATATTCTTTATATGGTCAATAAAGAAGTGATAGTGGGAAAAAACAAGATCAAATGAAGGTGATGATTTAGGAAGTTGGAAAGATAGCTGAAACTACAAAATGGTATATAACCAGTGAACACTTAGATACACTGATTGATGAACTTCAGCTTTTGACTTGGTGAAAGCATAAAATGAGAGCAGCTGAGGTTTGCAAATTTGTAATCTCCTTGTGGAAAAACAGGGGAAAACACATCTCAGCCTAATAAGATTTATCTACTAAAGAGTCTAGACTTGATCCATTTGTCCTTGGAATTCAAAAGCTAATTCAAATACTGATTTGATGCATTGTGTGAACAACCATTGCTGATTATCATCGCATACCTCGCAATCTTTTTTATCTGATATCTAAAATATTTGGTAATTCCTGGACTTTCTCTTTTCAAACCCAGTACGATTTAATTTCAATCTTAGAACAGTTGTCTTTGAGAAATTCTTCCCTCTACTGCATCTGTGAATGGGCATAGCATGGTTACATACATACTGTCACTCCGTAGAACATTTGCTAAATTAAAGCCAAAGTTTAAAGCAAGAGCTTTAACTTACTGGTTTTACTAATGTTTTCCTCCCCAATAGCCACAACAATATTGATACCCTCACACTTTTTAACATAAAGCTTGGTGTTGTCTATTTTTCAGTTGCTGTCACCTATATGATCTCAGTATTTTAAAAATCAGCTTCCAGCCCATATGGTGATTCATGCTTATAATACCAGCAGTTGAAGAGGCTGAAATGAGAGGATTCTTTGAGCCCAGGAGTTCAAAAGAAACCTGGGCAACATAGCAAGACCCAGTCTCTATCAAAAGTTAAAAAAAAAAAAAGTGGGCATGGTGATGTGCACCTGTTGTCCTAGCTATTTGTGAGGCCAAGGTGGAAGGATTGCTTGAGCTTGGGAGGCTGAGGCTGCAATGAGCAGTGATTGCACCACTGCACTCCATCCTGGGCACCAAAGCAAGACCCTATCTCAAAAAATATATATCATAAAAATAAAAATCAGCTCTCATTGATTTCTATGTAAATATGCACAGGTGATGTCCATATAGACATAAATAATAATATTTCTGACAATGGGTCCATATGACCTTCAAAATGTACAATGCCTATCTGTGTAATTGGTTAGTCTCATTAATGAATGTAGATTCAATTCTACTTTCTTGTTCTAGATAAATTATATAATCTAGCTTTTCATTTCACTTATTTACTGATAACAACAGGAAGAATGACAAGATAGCTATTTTGGAAAATTACTCTGGTAGGAGTAAAGATGAAACAATGATAGAATTGCACGGAAAACTAGAAAAAAAGTATGGTCTTCTGATATTCTATCACATCACATACTAAAGGCCTCATAAGACTCAGATATTTTATCTAAAAATGTTATTTTCATCTTAGGAATGATCAAAGCATGAGACTACAATTGTATTAAAATGTGCTTGTATCACAAGCACATGTGCTAAAAAGGAGGGGAAAACATCACTACTGATATTTTAAACGTATGTTTTACTTTTCATCAACATGAACCTCAACTTGATATTATGCAGATTGAAGGAAATCACCCATAATTCCATATGAAGAAGGCCTGTGATATTTTATGGGAAAATAAATAGAGAAAATGCTAACAGCAACCCTATTAAGCATGAAGCTTTATGGAGCAAACACAAATCCAGTGGTGAAAGATACACATTCGAGTTCTGTTTGTTGTCTTGGAACAATGCAGTTTAGAGGTGACTGGCGGGTGAGGAGAACATATGCAAGTTCACCAAAGAGAAAAGCTGAATGAGGCAATGCCTCTTCCTGACCATATCGCTTACTCAGATAACTATATAATTTATTGCCCAGTAAAGGGTCTATTAAAAAAATCATATTAAGTCATGCAGTGAAGTTGTCCAGGGAAATCAAGACTTAACAGTCTCACTCTGACAATAATGAACAGGGGGATTCCCTCAAGATAGACTAGGACATGACCCCACACTGGCAGGTAGTAGTACCAGAAAAGAACCCATGGAAAATCTTTACCTTATGCTTGAGGTAGGGACCAGGCTAAAGTGAAAGCCAGACATAAAATTCTATCTAAAATAAATCCACAATCGAAGAAAATATGTGGTGTACAGGCATAAAATGTCTTTACTGGATCATTGAAATAGTAAGATAAATTCAACTTTTTACATTGTTTTCTTTTCCTCCAGTTAGGGCTTGAGATTTGTCTCTGGAGAGTGACTGTCAATTGGAGCCCTGCCTTTCTGGGGTTCTGGTCAGGGCATTGTGGATGCTTAACATGTGCCTTTCACAGGACACTTCCTTACCCCAGCAGTGGCCAGGTGTGCATCCCACGACCAGGCCTCCCTCTCACAGAACATCTGTTGAGACTAGGAGATGCCTGGTGACTGTTGCCTGACCTGTGTCCTGTGTATTTCTGACAAGAGCCACTCTCAGAGACCCTGGCCAGGTGGAGAGTTAGGTTCCAGTGTAGCTCAGCTCAGACCCATGGAGGCCACAGAACAAAACATGGGAAATCACAGAAGTAGGTTTATTACTCACAGATCGAGAGAGAAAAGGGTAGCTGAGAAGAGGGTTTAGCTGTGTCCCCAGCCAAATCTCATCTTGAATTCCCACATGTTGTGGGAGGGAACAGGTGGGAGGTAATTGAATCATGGGGGCAGGTCTTTCCCATGCTGTTCTTCTGATAGTGAATAAGTCTCACAAGATCTGATGGTTTTATAAAGGGGAGTTTCCCTGCACAAGCTCTCTTGTCTTGTCTGCTGTCATGTGAGACGTGCCTTTCACCTTGCACCATGATTGTGAGGCCTACCCAGCCATGTGGAACTGTGCGTCTATTAAACCTCTTTCTTATGGAAATTACCCAGTCTTGGGCATATCTTTACCGGTGGTGTGAAAATGGACTAATACAGTAGCACACCTCATACGGCTGAACAAAATGGGGAAGATGAGTGGGGAGCAGGAGAGAGAAAAGGGGTCTGTGGGACTCCAGCCTTTATTGGGCCGAGAACATTACCCAAATAAGTTTTCCACGGGGCACTAGTCTGTGGGGTGAGTGCCAGCAGGCACATTTCTTGACTCCCGCTGCAGGTCACTCTGGCATGTGGAGGCTGTCCATGTGCGCTGTGAGGTCTGTGGGGTGAGTCAGGTAGGTTGTATCCAACGGTTCCATAGCTGGTAGTCACCAGGAGGAGGCAACTGTGTAGGGTCAATACCTGGGCCAGCCACACTGAGGAACTGTGAGGGTTAGAACTGGAAATTGTCAAGGGAATCTGAACCCAGCTACCATAAGAGAGAGTTCAATTTATGTTCAATGTGAATGCCATGGCAATATTAAAAGGTAAGAATTCGCTCCATACGTGTTTGAGGTAAATAGGAGAAACCTAGAATTTATGTAAACAGTGAGAAGATTGGATGTGTTTTCCGACACATATTTTAATACTAGCAGCATATTATATATGTCAATCCATCAGGCATTCAGAAATACATGCTTATGAAATTTTTTTGCACCATCAGACAAAAGACAAGGGTAGAAGACATTTGTAACCCTATAACCTCTAGTACATTAAAAACAGAAGGACCTTTATGTCCTAACATATCTGTGTTGTGAAAGGCTGCCCTGTGAAATACGGGATTTCTTAAACATATTTTAAAAATCATAGGTGTCATAATTTTTTAGAAATCCATTTAAATTTTCTCTTGCTGTTTTACAATGCCTATTTATTTATTTAGTGGCTCTGCTGATTTTGATGTATATCCTAAACTTCACATTTTCTTTAAAGGATGTTTTATACAACTTTACGTAAAATGTTTCAGTATCTTCACATTCTCTCCCTGTCCTTTTGTTTTGCTCTTATATGGTGGTCTTGAGTCTTTTCTCTGGCTTTTCAAACCTAGTAAGACTAAGACACTAAAGTAACTTTGCCCGTGGTTTGGTAATATTTTCTAAAGCACATCCTAAGCTCTCATGCATACAGGGGTCTCCTTTGAGCTCTGTGCTTTTGAGATCCCATATACCTAAATTCCAGTATTGGAAATCAGTACTGCTCAGTTTCAGTTACTAAGTTTAAAAATGTATTTTAATAGCAAGTTAGTTTAGTGCACTCTTGCTTCTTTCTTGACTGCTTGTATACATGTATATTCCTTTAAATGAATCTTGGAATTTATCTAAAATTTTAAATTATACTAATGAAACTGTATATTGTTGTGAATTCATAAGTGAATTTGGAAAGAATTTGTCTTTATGATACTAAATCCTTTTTATCCAAGAATCATATGTGTCTTTATATTTATTCCAGTCTATATTTATGTCACTGAGTAAATATATAGAAATGTAGATACATACAGCTGTAGTTATAGATACAAATATAGATATAACATGTTAAATCTATATCTATCCCATATAACATATATACATGTTATATGTGTGTGTGTGTATATATATGTTTATGTTATTAAAGAGCTCCCCTAAAATTTTTATTTTATTTCCTATATAATTTTAGGTCGAGCTTGAATTTTCCTTGTATAAACAAGCAAATATTTATACTAGTTTTAATACTGATGTTTAGACATTGCATCTTATTTTAGCATTGAATATTTTCACAATTATAAATATTATCTAATATTAATAATGTACCTGTTAAAAATATTTAAAATTTTACCTTTGAATTATTTTATTGTTGAATTAAAATTCCTTTAATATGATAGTGAATTTCTATTTTAGGCTTTCTCTATGCATATGCAAATTAATCTATCCACTTCTCTATCTCTATGTAGTAATATATGAAAATCAGACCTCTCTTCTTCTAATGGACATACACATGTTTGCCTATAGAATATCAGACTCTTTATAGCATTTAAAATCTCTAAAGACATGAATATTGCTTTTTAACAAATATATTTTAGCATGTACTGAGAATCCACTATTTATTTTTAATTTGGGCTAATCAATATGATTATTAATATTATTGGATTACCAAATTTGGAAACACACTTTCATCCCCAAGGTGGATATTTGTTTTATTTTTTTTTGCCAATTTCTTGTGTTACTGTTTCAAATATTGTTGGAAATTATTTTTATTTTATTTGGCATTTTAGTATCAACATTTGCAATTGAGGTACTCTACATATTTTTTCTTCAATATCTGGTGGGTTTTATATTTACTGCTATATTGGATTTGTAGTAGACATTGACAAAAATTATTCCTGTATGTTTTATAGCTGTATGAAGGAAACTAATATATTTTACCCCTAAATATATTTCCTTGATATATTTCAAAATGGCTATTGAGAAGGGCTGGAAATGCAGACTTAGCTGCAAAGCTGTCTTGGGGAGATTTGCACCGTTAGAGAATCTGCCTTGATGCAGCCAGGCTTTCTCTGAGTTTTGCCCCCTTGTCTGGATCTAGGAAGGGTTAACTTAGAGTCTGAGGTCTCCAAAGGTCTGAAAGAAACATTTTCTGTCTATTCTCTCTGAGGACTGCTCCCAGTGAGGTTCCACCTATGTAATAAGTCCACTGTTGCTAGCCAGGGTCGTTTTCTCACATAACCTTTTTTTTTTTTTTCCCTGTGATCCAAGACCCCATTCTTTCTGTAAACTTCATGTGGTAGATAAGCTTCTGCATGCATCGTGTGTCTGGGTCTTCGTTCTAAGGGCTCCAGTGTACACACATTGCAGAAACCTGTATGCCTTTTCTACTATTTATCTGCCTCCTATTAGTGATTTTCAGGGAAACTTCAGAAGGCAAAAGGGACATTCTCCTTTAGCCCATTCTCAGACAAAATCCCCCAACATTTAACTGATTCCTAATAGCTTAAAATCACTTTGAAAAATCCATATATTTATAACCTTTTCTTCCCTCTATGATTTCTGGTCAGCTTGGGTTTTGTTTTTCATTCTATTTACTTCATCCTCGAAAAGATCTATTTTACGTCTATTTATTCTCATTTATGGACCTTGAGAAAAGAAAATAACTTTCATATGAGAAATGCAAGTCCTTTGAAATAATCAGGCCCAGAGAGATATTCAAATGAGACAGCAGTTCTGTCCTGCTCCTCTTTGAGCTGTGTGTTCATCTAGGCTGCCGCTGTTACCACAGTAGCTATAAATTAACCAATAAAGCCACACCAGACACTATAATCCACACCCAATAATAGTGTAACAGTGTATAGCCAATCACTAATAGATGTTATTTCCATAAGCCAATGAGAATTTGTGACAAACCTCTTTGCATCATCCCACTTCTGGACCCTTTTTTGCCTTTAAGAAACTGCTTGTTGCAAAGCTCCAAAGGGAGTTCATATCCAAGGATACTTGGGTCTGTTTCTTCCA
This sequence comes from Homo sapiens, assembly GCF_000001405.40. Taxonomy (NCBI): domain Eukaryota; kingdom Metazoa; phylum Chordata; class Mammalia; order Primates; family Hominidae; genus Homo; species Homo sapiens. Next base: position 8,576,843 of record NC_000021.9, on the reverse strand, counting down.
GGCAGCGGTCCTCATTGTGGCTCAAGTAAACTCTTTGAATTACGTTTTGTGCTTCAGCCCCTTCCACTTAGATTAACAACATGGATTTGTGTCACCATGTACAGCAATTAAAATGTTTACACTTTTCCTCTCGAGAGCACTGATGTGTTTTCCTGAGCACTTGGAATAGCTACATAGTGTTTACTCTCTAGATTATGGTTTCTCAACCTTGGTGCTACTTACCTTTAGGACCAGAGGATTATTTGTTGTGGGAGGCTGCCCTAGCAATGCTAGGTGTTTCGTTTGACCTCTAAATTTCACACCTCCACCAGTCTTGACATCCCCACAATAACCCTAGACATTGACAAATGTCTCCTGGGGAAAACTCTCCACCAGTTGACAGCCAAAGTTCTGGAAATATTGGAATTGTCAATTGAGATTTTATGTTATCCAAAACAAATATTTTTCTTTGTTTTTAAACATCTACTTCCATCTACTTATCTACTTATTTTTACTTTTATTTGTAACTTAATTCCATCAAGGAGAGAGAGTGCATTTTCTGTTATGCTAAATTTTTGAAGAGTGCATTGATTTTTTCTTACCTGATATATGGATGATATGTAGATATTACATGTTTGTATTATCAAATTTCAGGGCGATAATAAAATAAATACTTATAATATTTATATTGTCACTGTATATTAGTTATTTTCTTTCTTCACTACAGGAGTTTTTCAACCTATAGGCTATTTTTCAATTCTAGGTTATCCAGTAGATTTTAAAATGTTATGATTAAATATCTACTTCTCAAGCATTCATCTTTGCAAATGAAACAATCCCAAGCTCTTATAATGCACATCATATAAAGGGGAGATTAGTCAATATATGTTTCAGAAATAATTATGTAGTATTTGTAAGAAATTGAAAATTTAGATCCTTAACTCAGATAACAATAATCCAAATTAAAATTTGATTTCATTACATAATTTAAAATGACACCAGAATACTAGTAAAAATGTAGATAAGTTTATATAATCTATTTTAGCTGTAGGACTTTATTAGCATAAATTCAAATACAAAAACCAAAGTAAGATTGAGACCTATAGTCAAAGGTTAAAATGTACACATTATAAGGGCATGATTAAACTAATTTAAAGCATAATAACATGGAGAAATATTGCAAAACATATATTTTACTGAATTAATTGTTAATATCTAATAATTATGTAAGAACAAAATTAAAGAGTAGCTACACACGCACACACCCACACACAAGTGCAATATTGTCAAATAAACGATGTTCAGCTACACTAGAAATCACACCTGTGTTTTCTCCACAGAAAAGATTAAAAATCACAATAATATTTATTGTACATATGGAGGTAAAGATACTCAAAATATTACCCTAAAATACATTTTTTTTGAGATGGAGTTTTGCTTTTGTTGCCCAGGCTAGAGTGCAATGGCACAATCTTGGCTCACTGCAACCTCAGCCTGCCAGGGTCAAGTAATTCTCCTAGCTCAGCCTCCCAAGTAGCTGAGATTACAGGCATGCACCACCACACTCGGCTAATTTTTTGTATTTAGTAGAGACGGGGTTTCACCATGTTGGTCAGGCTGGTCTCCAACTCCTGACTTCAGGTGATCTACCCACTTCAGCCTCCCAGAGTGCTGGGATTACAGGCATGCACCTGGGCAGCTTTTTGACATATTTCAATATGGCTACTCGGAAGACTGGAGATAGCTCCTTCTACAAGAATAGCTGAAAAGCTGTGTTTGTTGGGGAGATTTGCATTTGTAGAGAAAATCTGCATTGATGTAGACAGGCTTTCCCTGAGATACTCCCTTGTCTGGGTTTAGGAAAGATTAACTGAGCCTGGCATGTTTACATTTCTAAAAACCAATTCCTATCTATACTTCCCAAGAGGAGGGCTGCTCCCTGTGAGGTTTCATCCATGTAACAAGACCACCTCTGCTGTCAGGCTCCTCTTTCTTCCTTGTCTTCACCTGTCTTCCGCAAAGCCTGATTTACCAACCTACAGCTCTGTGTTTTGTGTAACGTCAAGACAGCATAGGCGTGTTGACTACCTTGCCTTTCCTGGAGTTTTTATATATATAGCATATATTTGTATATCTATTTATAATATACAAATATTTGTATAGTTATATTTTTATATATTATGTAAACTGCAAGTGCATACTTGCACACATATCTGTAAACCTTTTTTCTGTTAATTTGTACATTATCAGTTTGTTTTATAGACTCAAATAATTAAAGCTTCAAGGGAAAAATTTAAACTTTCCTATAGAGAAAAGACAAATATGTAGGTGACAAATAATATTTAGAGTGTAAGACGCTCTTTAAAGGTATATTTGCAAATTGTGTCAAAACATTGAAATATACATTTGTTATTTTAACTATAAAATTTCAAATAATTTAAGCCAAATACATAGTATATGCAGAAAATTTAGCAATATATCTAAGTAGCACCTTACTGTGCATTACTGTAACCAGCCGTCTAATATGAAGAATTAATTAAGGTAGCAGCTACTTTTCAAATAGCGCATTTTTTTACAGACCTATTAAATAAGACCAATAACATTTAAACTTTATTTTTAAATTTGCAGAATAGTAGTTTTCAGCAGATGGTTTATTTTAGCAAATTCCATCTTCACATTGTGCTATGCTTTTATGATTTCCAGCAGTTAACGGATAATATTGTACTGCTGAAACTATCATGTGTGATACAATTGCTCATTATGGGCCTTAAAACACAAGCAATATAATTATTTTCAACTTGGAGCAAATTAAAATCTTATCAGCAATTTAAAAACTCTTGAGTCGTCTTCTTCTGGTTAATTATTTTAAACTTGTATTTTTCTCTTTATGTTTTTAGTGAGTTGTCTTATCAAGGAGAAGAACTCCAGCTGATTATTCTTTTTTTTCTCTTCCATCCACCTCGCAGGTGTGTTAATAATTTCATTTCCCAGAAAATGTTCTTTCATATCCATCTTACAAGACGAGAGACTTTTTAACATCTTCCATTCGGATGTGATACCAGTAATGGAAAATATTCCAGCTTCATGAATATGGTGATACAAATGGTTATCCGTCTAACCTCTTTCAGTGCCAAATGTTTACTCAGTGAATTACTCAGTTGACTGGTAATTTCTTCTGAAATCACTAATGAGAGGATCAGAGTTCTGGCTGTTGTCTGTATCTCATATGACTTCCAGTGCAGACAATTGTTTCTATGGAGCACAGACTGTTGAAAGGATTGACTTCCTGCCTAGAATAGTTTCTGCTGTGCTTCTTTTCCTTCTTGTGGAGATTTCAGATTATCTGAATTGCTTTTCTATCTTAAGAAAAAAACGCAACAATTCTCCCACCTGAGAGGAATGCAAACTGTAGTAAGTTAGCAGAACCAATCCGTAAAATTTTTACATTGTTTGTTGCAAAATGCAGCGCTGGTGTCTCCATCACTAACCTTTTCTATCCCTCATTGCTCTTTCTTTGACTGCAATAGGATACCTCTAGGCAAATCTGTATTCCCGAGACAGAGTGCCCTTTTGGTGAGCTATAAGCACACTCAATGGTAGGCTGAAATACAAGCTTTTATCTATGGCAAAATGGAATCATATCAGTGATTTTTTTAAAAAGGAAATTTAATTCTTGCTATGGTTTGAATGCTTGCCCCTTCCAATCTCATGTTAAAATTTGATCCCCAATGTTGCAGGTGGGGCTTACTGGAAGGTGTTTGGTCATGGGGTTGGACCTTCATGAATGGATAATACCCTCCCTTAGAAATCTAAAGCTATCTTCCCTCCTCGGTGCCCTCAGGAATGAGTGTACCATTCTTTATTCACCTATAATTCCCCCACCCATCCTTTTTGAGATATTAATTACATGTATGTTACACTGCTGCATATTGTCTGATGTATCAGTGAGTTTCTGGCTTTCTTATTTTAGTTTACCCTTTGTCCTTTAGTTTGTAAATCTTCTATTTTTTTCTATAAATTTTCTGATGTTTGGGTAAAATCCATTACTTATTCTATCTCATGGAATTTTTATTTCTAATATTTATTTTTCATCTATACATGTCACATTTTTCATTTTATAACTTCTATTTTTCTATGTTCAATTTTCATTTAAGTGCCTTGACATATATATGTATTTACCTATATGTATTTATAAAATATGTTTACTTTAAGGGCCTTGAAATTTCCTTCTTTTCTGTCATTTATAAATGACTTATTTTTATCCTGTTAATATATGTCTTAAGTATATATATCTTACGGCTTCTTTGCATGTCAGAGTTTTTTTGGGGGGGGTTTTTTTGATGTTATGCTATTGACTATCTAGATTTTATTGGCTACCTTTGAACAATGTTGTGGCAGGCAGTTCAGTAACTTCAGGATGAGTATTTGTCTGTTGTTGTTTTAAATCTTCTCTTTAAACTTTGTGGAGTTAGTCTAGAGCCATCTGTAATTTGGAGCTATATGAGCACTGTCACTAGGGCATGAAACTCCAGTGGTCTTTACTGAATATCCTGGAGGTACAGAGGTGATTCCCTTCTCTGATTAGAATTTGGAAGATAAAGAGAAAAGAGAAAAATACAAAGCTACGCATAAACACGTGCATTAAAATGAATTTTATGTGGGCTTTTTCATGAAAATGTTCCTAAGGTATTTTATTTTTTTATTGTGGTAAAATACACATAACATAAAATGTACTCTGTTAACCATTTTAAGTGTACAGTTCAGTGGTACTAAATAGAGTCATAACATTGTGCAGCCGTCCCTACCATCCATCTCCATAATTCGTTTCATCTTGTAAAACTGAAACTCTATACCCATTAAAAAATACTTCCCCATTTCTTCCTCCCCCCAGCTTCTGGCAACCATCATTGTACCATCTCTGTAATGCTAATCAAGCATAGTGGCTGTGTTTCTTGCTTCCTCTAGTCCGCAGGTAGAATACAAATGTAATAAACTACTTATTCATGTCACATCTATTTATTTTCTGCCTTATACCAAGCTTGTGGGATTCTCTTAAATACAAGATTTTTATACTTACACCTATGCAATACCCATTAGCATCGCCTTCCTAAATCACGGGAAATTGAGCCTCTGTAAGGTGGAGTAGCTTCCTAAGATATAAAACTCAGCATTGAAATCTGTATACTTCAATATCCTGCGCTCTTCTCATTTGTCTTTACTATCTTTTATGTATGTGTTAGATGTCCAATAAATTCTCTTTTTTAAACTGAATTTAAGCCATGGAGTAGCGTTTTGTTGAACAATAAATATGATATAGGACACTCTTCCTCCCTTTCATTTATGATCCTGTTCATGAAAAAGAGAAATTCTTTCATTGTGCTAGAAGCTTAAAATAATGAAAATGCCACTTTCTACATTAAACAGAAACTGAAGGGAATCAAGGTGAACTGCATGAGACATACAAAACAAGTGGGAAAGAAATCTAGTATAATTTGCCCTTTGTGTACCTTTATTATTTAGCGTTTGAGTAAATGATTCCCCCAAATATCTTCCCATCTTAATTCATGTCTATAAAGTAGACATTTATGTCTCACCTTGTCAAGAAGGGCAAACTCTAACATAAACATTTCCCAAAAATGCTTCCTGCTAAAACGTAAGCTCAGTCTGGCAGGAAATGCAGCTCACTTCATAAAGATTAATTGGTAGCTAATTTTGCATGCTGTTCTCTGAACTTGAGTGAAACCTGTCCATCAGGCATACAGGGCATGATGGAAAAGGTGACAACAGAAGATGAATGCTATGTCACTAACCTTCAAAGATGACCTGCCTTTTCTTTCAAATTCTTGATATCTTAATCAAGATATCATTAATTCATCTCTCTTTGCCCTTGGTTCAACATTGTGCTATACCAAAACTCATGTAAAACAATGATCTAATGTAATAAAAATGGCATTTTTCTTTGATGTAGATGCAAGCTAACTGGCATTTTTACAATCCACATATTTCCTTTGTCAATTTTTCATTCTGTATTGGAAGTAATTGATAGGTATTTCTGAAGGGATGACGGTGTTTCTGTGTTCATTGTGATCCAAACTATTTTTAGACCTAGGGGCGTTTGTAAAACAATTTGTGCCAGCTGACCAAGGATCACTGTGGCAGAAAGCAGCAAATTTGCATAAGATGTCACTGCCTCATAAGTTGGCTTTGAAAACTAGGGGCTTACTCTATAGTCTTATGAATCAAAGGCATTGATAGATGTAGTATAAGATTACAATCATACTTTCCTTTTGACAGTCACATTATAAAGCATGATGTATTGCAATTAATCTCAATTAGCTGATCACAATTAAAATTAATAATGTTTATTATTGCTGATAAACAATCATGACTCTCCTGTTCTCAAATGTGCAAATAATTCTTGTAATTTTAATACAAATTTGCATATTATTACTAATTGATTTAATCTCATTGCATTTGGTTCATGGATCCAATTTATTAAAATATTGATAATGGGATAATGATTTGTCTCCCCATTTCATGTACACTAAAAACAACAATTCTTACAATGGTCTGCAACCCCATCATGATCTGCCGCATGTTAACCGCCAAAATTCTTTTATATCTTCACCCTTGATCTTACCAGTGGTCCTGGCCACCTCACTGTCCTCTGGACATGCCAACACTCTGCTGCCTTATGACCAAGACTCTAGTTAATTTCTTGGCTTGGAAAGATAGCCCTCCATATATCCATTGATCAGCTCATTCAACTTCCTCAAGTCTTTACTGAAACTTCACATTCTCGATGAGGCCTATTCAGTATTTCAAACTGCCTCCCAGCTGCAACTTTCCAAAACCCCTTACTCTTCTGTGTATTTTTGAAAGGATTTATTGAGATAAAATTTACATAGTGTAGAGTGCACACATTAATGTCTACAAGTCAGTGGCTTTTAGTATATGCACAGATAAGTGGAGCCATCATCACAATGAATTTTAGAGCATTTTCATCACTTCAAAAAGAAACCCCACCTTCTCTAGCTGTTAACATCCTATACACTCATCCCCTACTCAATCCTAAGCAACCACAAATCTGTTTTCTGTCTCTATAGACTTTCCTATTCTGTTTTCATCTAAATAGAATCATACAATAGGTGGCCTTTTCTGCCTGGCTTCTTTCAGTTGGCATAATGCTATCAAGGTTCATGTACGTATTGGTACTTTATTTCTTTTTATAACCGTATAACATTCAATTTCATGGATATAACATTTTGTTTATCCAATAATATTTTTATTGACATTTGAGTTGTGTTCAGCCTTTGGCTATTTTAAATATTGCTGCTAAAAATACTTATGTACAATTTGTGTTTGAACACCTCTTTCCAATAATCTGGGTGTATACCTAGGAATAAATTTCTGGGTCATATGACAATTCTATGTTTAATATATTTAGAAGCCATCAAATTATTTTACAAAGTGGCCAGTTCTAGCCATAGAGTATCTAACTGTGGTTTTGATTTGTAGTTGCCTGATGAGTGATGCTATTGAGTATCTTTTTATGGGATTATTGGCCGTTCGTGTATCTTCTTGGGAAACACATCTATTCCTATCATTTATCAGTTTTGAGTTGGGATATTTGTTACTGAGTTAAAACAATTTTTCTATATTCAAGATACATATATATACAGACATATAGACACGTGTTTTTCAAATATCTTCTCACAATTTTTGAGCTGCCTTTTGACTTGCTTGGTTGTCCTTTGAAACACCAATGTCTTTAATTTTTAAGAAATTTTAAATATCTAATTTTTATTTTGTTGCTCATGTTTTTGATGTTACAGCTATTTCTTTGCTAGATCCAAAATGCTGAAGATTTTCCCATATGTTTTATTCTAGCTCTTGCATGTGTGTCTTTAATTCATTTGAGTTAATATTTTTGTATGCTTTGGGGTAAGGGTTCCAATTTATTATTTTGCAAGTGGTGATCCACGTGTACGTTGTTGAACCAGTTTGTTCAAAGACTGTCTCTTCCTCATTGAATTGCACATGGCACCACTGTAAGAATCCATTGACCATAGACACATAGTTTTATATATGGACTCTCAATTCTCTTCCATCAATCTATATATTTTTCCTTCATCAGTATTTTGTTGTCTTGATTACTGATACTTTGCAGTAAGGTTTGGAGCATGGGGGTGTGAATTATCCTAATATGTTTTCTTTTTTCAAGATTATTTTGGCTACTTTGAGTCCCTTACAATTCCATGTGTATTTTAGAATCAGCTTGTCAGTTTCTAGACAGAAGTCTGTTGGAATACTTGCAGGGATTTCATCAAATCTGTAGTTCAAATTGTAAAGTACTACAGTATTAAATCTTCCAATTCATGGCTGTAAGATGTTTGCTAATTACTTAGATATTCTTTAAACAATAATTTTTAATTTTCAGAGTAAAATCTTGTATCACATTTTCCAAATTAATTATTATTTCTTTTTATGATGCTATTTTAAATTGAAGTGTTTTCTTAATTTCATTTTGGGGTTTTCATTGTAGATGTGTGCAATTGATTTTTGTACATTTATCTTGTATGCTGTAATATTGCTGAAATAATTTACAAGTTCTATCGTTCAGTGGATTCCTTAACATTTTCTATATACAAGAATGTTATTTTCAGTTTTATTTCTTCCTGTTCAATATGGATGACTCTTATTTTTTTAGTTGCCGATTTGCCCTGCATAAAATCTTTAGTACAGTATTGACTAGAAGAGGTCAAATTATATATCCTATTCTTATCTCTGACCATAGCGGGAAAGCATCCTTTACCATTAAGTTGCATGCTTGCTGTTGGCTTTTCACAGGTGTCATGTATCTGGTGTAGAAAGTTCTCTATTCCTGGTTCATTGAGTTTTTATTTTTATTTTTAATCATTAAAGCATTTGGATTTTGTTAAATGTCTTTTCCGAATCTATCGAGATGATCATGCAATTCTCGTTTCTTATTCTATGGATAAGATGTATTACCTTAATGGATTTTGGGCTGTTAAACCAACCTGGGAATACTTGTATAAATTTCACTTTGTCATAGTGTATAATTCTTTTATATGTTGCTAGTTCTGATTTGTTAGTATTTTTTAAGGAATTTTGCATTTATACTTATAGTAGTTTTATTTTTCTATGCTATTTGGACTAATTTTTGTATCAAGGTAACACTGGCCCCAAAGAGTAAATTGGGAAGTGAATATTTCTTTTTAAAAAAGCTAGTCAAGAATTAATATCAATTATTCAACACTAACAAATATTATTATAAATTATTAATTTCTCTAATTTTTATTTTCTTCCTTCTGCTTGCTTTAGGTTTAGTTTTTTATTCTTTCCAGTGCCTTAATGTGGAAGGTCATCTTATCCCATCCTTTCATTTGTCTTTTCATTCTCTAAATAGTGTCTTTTTAGCATCAGGTGAGCTCCCCAGCTTGGTAGTACTCCATGTTTATTGCTGTACAACAATTACAGGTAGTATGTCCTGAAGACAATGGAAACTTAATATTCAAAATCTCCTAGATTCCACCTTATATGATATGTCTCTCCAATTGGTCCTAATTTCTACCCTTTCTCTATTATAAACCGTAAGTACAATGGCATTCAATGAGTTCTGTGAGTCTTTCTAGTAAATTCTTGAAACTGAGTGTGTTCAGGGGAAACCCCTGAACTGGCAGTTGGTGTCAGAAGTGAGAATCGTCTTATATGGCCTCTTCCTTTGAACTTTGCAGCTGGACGCAAACTCTGCACAATTTGGGCCAGAAGTCTCGTGTTGACTTTGCAGCTTAAAGTATCTTGTAGTTTGTCTAACCCTCAATAAATTTGCTTTCATCAAATATTGTATTTGTTACTCCAAAATTACCATCACGTTTTTTTCTCCAAATAACTAACATTGGGAGAAATAGCCAGCTGAGTCTGTAACTCAACAGAAACAAGTGATCCATATACCATATACCATATAAGTGGCCATTTCATTTTGCCTTCTTCCACCAAATCTTAGCAACCTTAACCATTGCCATGAGCCACTGTATGCCTACCAGCTACAAACAAACAAGTATCTTTTAAAAACACTACATACTCCCATTTGATAAATTTCCCAGCAAAGAGATGCCTACTTTAACTCTATGCAAGTGGCTCATATGCGCTAAGTCTGTAGATATTATTCATGTAGTGTGAGAAAATCATCCCAGCGATGCCAGCACATTCTCCTTCCCCTGATCTGCTTAGTTTGCAAACATATTCAGGCCATGGGTGAGAGATTTGTATTTCACAGTACAACAGTTTTATGGAGGGCATTGAAACTTACATTGAGCATTTTAGTACAGCCACACATCACTGAATGATAGGGATACGTTCTAACAGATGCATCCATAGGCAATTTCATCATTTTGCAAACATCACAGGGAATATTACAAACACCTAGATTGTACAGCCTACCACGTCTAGGTTATATGGTATAGCCTCTCTCTCCCAGGCTACAAACCTGTGTACTACCTTACTGTACTGAATACTGCAGGCAATAAGAACACAGTGGTAAGAGGTTATGTATCTAAACATACTTAAACGTAGAAAAGTATGTAAAAATATGTATTATAATCTCATGGACCACTTTTGTATTTGTAATCCATCTTTGACTGAAATGTTATTATGCATGACAAGACTCTATGACAAAAATAAAATAACACATTGTAAAAAATGTACACAGATATCAAACATATTAATATTGTAAAAATAAAAATATTCAGTGTAAGAATTTGTAATGATCACAAAATGTTCACAGCTTATATTTTAGTACAGTTTCAAATGTCTGGTGCAATTACTATTTATTTCTGTGTGTATTTTAAACATGTATATAATAAATATTTTTCAGGTTCAACAATATATATCAATCCAACTGGCTCTTATAAATATTAGTTAAAATCAATTAGTAAATTCATATATATATATATATATACACACACGTGTATCAGTCTGTATGCATGTATGTGTGTGTAAATGTAACTGTGTGTGTAAATGTAATTGGATGCATCCTAATATTTACCTTTACCTACAAGATTTCCAAGATTCATTTATTATCTTTAGAAGATGTGCTTTTATAGATTTACCAAATAAAACTGTAATCGTGGAAAATATCAAGATGTTATTAAATTCACCTTGTGCACATAATTGTTTCTTTAAATTTATATTTCTTGCAAAACTTGCGGTAATGCTCATGTACAAAATAATTTTCTAAATAAAAAATAAAAACATTTTCTCAATCATTAATTCTTAATAATTATTTCTCCCCAATAATTAATGTGAATTAATTCTTAATTCTTAATTATAGAATAATGTTGCCCTTCAGAGTTCTGAATCTTTTGCATGTTGCATACATTTCACTAACTAGAACAACTTCTGGAATATTGGCATTAATTAATGTCACTCAGCAATTAATGATTTCAAAGAAATTAAATACCATTCATATTCTGAATCACAAGGGTACTTTGGCATCTAATTTAATCAAGCTCTTTGTATCATCATCTACACTTTAATTACTTAACAAACATTTCTCTGTGTGAGAAAGATTGAGCAGGTTATTGTGCTTTTTTAAGATGCAACTTTTGCTTAATCTAGAGATAGGCAATGCTCCCTATAAGGGACAAAGAGAAAAATGAAAGAGCAATAGAGATGCGACAGGCATGGAAAAAGACAATACATTTATCAAACAAATAGGGCCACGGATGACGATAATGGGGGTCAAACCTTGAGATACTGACTCAGTTTACAACCGCACTGTATAATAGAGCAAATCATTTGTTAATTTTTTTACAAATGGAATTTAATTTAATTAAGATGAATACAGTGTTTTAAACAAGGCTGGTCATCTTAAAATAAAATAGTGGAATAAAGTGATAAAACCAATGTAAAAATCATAAACATTTTATAAAGAATTTTTGTCATGTAATTTTTTTCTTTATTTAAAATCACCCAAATCAAAATAATTTTATCTTAATTAACAATCATCAGAAGTTAACTAATTTTTACTTGATAATACTAGGTTTAAAAATTCTTAACTATATTTTTAATCATATATGATTATACATAAAATAGACATAGGGTATATGTTTACATGTTCACAATATTATATTGTAATTGTTCCTATGGATGTGGTTTTTCAATAGAATTAATAAGTACTTTTAAAAAGTTTCAATTTCAATGATATATATGTTTGATTTTTCTTTGACAAAGCATACATATATTGATAGGTAATAAGAAGAAAATCTTCTAAAGACATTACAGGAACATGAATAAGTAATTAAATCCTCAATAATTTGTAATGTTTTATGTAAGCGGAACACATTTAACTGAAAATTGCTTTTATATAATACTCAAACGAGACTAAAAACATATTAACTAGCGGAGTAAGTTTTCAAATTGATAATCTGAACTATATAAGAGGAGAAACTTCAAGCACTCAAATATTTGAAATGCTACAAAATATTTATATAAACTTATTTCACAATTTCTGTTTGTAGAGTGCTATAGAGTAATCAATATAAATGACATCTCAGTCTTTCTATGGCTTTGACCACATTTACCTCTTAATTTTAATTATTAATATGTTGGAGCAGTGCATACAACCAGATTCCGATCTTCCTTTTTAATGAGTAAAAATATGTCCTTTGAGACAGCATTAAAGAAAGAGCACCTTGTATATAAATTCAATGCGAAGAGACAAGATATTCTTGATTCTGAAGTCTTGTTCTTTTATACAGCAATGTAATTAATAATAAGAAGAAAAGCAGGACATAGATATGGAGTCTATTTTAATCAAAAATTGTCTATAGATTTTGATGATAAAATTTAAAAATCTACTATATTTACTTAGTCACAAAAAACCAGGTTGTGGGAACATATTTGGTCAATAAAACACCCCTACCAAATGCTGACAAGAAAAAAAGTTAGGTACCACCTTTCTTCTCTGCAGATGGCCTGAGATGGGTTAATTTGAAAGAATGCTTCCAAACCTGAGGTGACCCCTGAGAACAGCATAATCCACTGCTGTCTCCTACATTCAGTTTCTCAGTCTGTGCTCTTTTAATTTTGGGGGGAGGGAAGCCAGTCCTTTAAAACGATCTTCAGCATGATGGCAGAGCCAAGGAGTGTGGACAGGTGGCACGGTGTCTGACTTTGTTCCATCAGCCATTTGGGCTTTCTCTGGGTCTTCTTTGCCCTAGGGATAGCACTACTATTGAAAACATGTCTTTGTGACATTCTCTATGCCAGGAACTCCCAACATATTTTCCTTGAAACTGATGAAATGAATAAAAATAAACCAAGAGGTGTGCTGTTTGTTTCTGTTTCCTCCTTTCTGCAGCCCTTCTTGATCATCTAATATTTTTAAACACATTCTCGATCACCAAAAGGAGCATAAGGGCTTCATTGGTTTGTAGCAGATGTATTAATAGCCCAGCCCCTATTCCTTACCTGTAGCTGCTGGGAAGAAAACCATTCTTAACACTCTACAAGGTCTCATCTCCAGAATTTGCACCTGTTTCTAGCTGAGGACTTTCTCTAGCAGCACGGGAGCTTGTGACTGGACATGAAGTGGGAAGAAAAGGTGAGGGTATCTAAGAAGAATCTCCCTGGATTCAGTGATGTAATTCTGAGGCATGCTCCACATAGCTTCCCATAAAATTAAGCCCAGATATCTAACACAGGAACTTACCTCTTAACACGTGTGGTATTGGCTTGTCTCTCTTTCCTGTTTTATTTTGTTCTCTTTTCCTTGTCTCACTTTCACTGTGTCCTCACTCCTGCTTTAAGAATACCCAAACAAATACGTTCATTTATTTTTTTAGACTCTCAGAACACAGTTGATAGTTGAACTTCTAATCTATGATAATCAGCTTGGATGCAATACTGACAGGAAGATGGTGAACTCACAATGTCCAATTAAGGTACAATTTAAAAAATATATTGAATCATGTCCAAAGATTTAAAAAACCTAAGCGGCAGTGTCACAATTTCTTCTTTTTAGTTTACATGGTTTCTTAAACGCCTACAATTATTTTAAAGGAAGCCTTGAGTCTAGGAAAAATTGAGACATATGGAATAAATTACTAACCCATTTCTCCTTGAAATCCATTAGATAATTGATGATTTTTTCACATATATTTCTGAACTGAAAATCTAGTTGGGAATTATTTTTATAAGCATATCCTTATGTAATATTTTGTTTCTAACAGAGAATTGAATGTTTAAAGATTAAATTATTCTATCCAGAGAATAAAAAGCAATTATTTCACAAGGAAACCATGTGTATGTTGACAAGACATTTTAAAATCTAGATTTTAAAATAGGTCCCATATAATTTTGAGTCAATTAGAATATGTTTGTATCAGTCTGTCTACAGTTTTACACCTGTCAAAAGGTACTTGAACTAAAAGAAGTACCTTGAACAATTTTGAAATTTATTATTCCTCTGAAACTCATTAAAAGAATTATGGTAGAGTGAAATTCTGATTGGCATAATTTGGGAGAGAAATTATTCCTTGGAGATCAACCTCTGCCAAGATAGTTTATAATGACATTGAGACTTTTTGATTTACAAAATTTGTTATATAAAAAATACTAAGACGATGACAGATAATACACAGACTAATTAAAATTGTACTAGAATTAATTGTCTAAATAAATTACAAGGGTACGTGGTACATCTAAATGTATGTTTATATATTTTATTTGTGCATTTTATTCCTAGGGTTGCTTTTGCTTTAGTTTGTAAAACGTTCTTATTTTTATGATAATGTAGTATATACTAAATAAAGAAAAATCAGGAAATAGAAAATGAAGAAGAAAACATTAGCTATTGTCAACCAAATAAAAATCGTGCAATCTCTAAGTACATGAACTATGTATTATTTGTACAGCATGTACAATGTTTATGCTTCACAGGGTGAGGTAGAGACTGTAAAACATTGAACCTGGGAAAAGTAAGAAAGTAAGGAAATTTTCACAACATATTAATATTATAGAAAATGTTGAACTTAACAGTTAAGATACAAGTAGTGAAAAATGATAGTATTTAAGGAGATCTAGAAAATTTAATCTATATCAGTAATGTGTGAGAAGTATTAGAATAATGCTTGTATTTCTGGATTGGCATCGATTTCTATTGAGACTGGAAATGTAACAGAAGTGAGCAAAAAAGAATTTAAATTGTGGATACTTGAGTTTTATACCTAGGAGTTCGAGAAATACATTTTGTTACTATCAAAGCAGTTGGCACAAGAGTGTACAAAATTCCCTAATTGTGTCTATGTGGAGAAGACATAGACAAACAGAGAATAGCAAAACAGAAATAGCAAAAAAGCACAAATAAATTTTACCTGTATTTTTAAGTAAAAGCCAATTAGAGAAGGAAAACATGAAATTTGTGTTTTATCAAAATTTTTCTCTTTCTCATAATATAGTTGAAAATATTACTGCAAAAAATTTGAAGCACTGGTATGTTCACAAAAAAAGTAAAATATAAGGTCAAAACCATGGGAATGCAGGGAGCAGACAAAATACACCTAAACACTGAAACTGATTTTGCCCTACAGACATGTAGCAAAATGAATGAGTGCAGATTCCTACTGTCATACATCACATAGGACAGTAAATAAATACATAGTTTTTCCCAAGATAGGGCATCACACAGGAGCTCTTCCCTAAAGCTAGGACCAAAATTTATATCCTCAGTATAAAGAAGAATCAGAGGTAAATTAGTCCCATTTCACATTCCCTGGAAATGGCAAATAAAAATGACTTGAGATTGGACAGATTTAAAGCAACTCAATCATTAATGATTTACAGCAATTAATTTAAAAACTGTTTAAATGTGCAGTCCAAACATATGTCCAAACACCTTTAGGCCAAGAATTAATATAATGTGGTCCCAGAATGGTGATGCCTTTAGAAGACTCACAACAAATTCAAATTCTCTTTGGCAAATTTTCTTCTTACTAATATGCAAAAGTGCACAATAATAATTTTCAGAGAAAAATAAATCTTTGTCATTCAAAGGCATCTAAGTATGCAAGGAAATGATATTCTACCATTTGAAAGGAAAGCAGAAAAAGAGTACAAACCGATCCACAAAGGTTCATTAGTAGAAATATCACTGTTAGATTATAAAGCTCATTTAATTTCAAAAAATTTAAAAAAAATGAATATATTTTTAGGAGACTAAAAAATTGATGTAGCAAATTGGAAAAGTAGTTTGTATATAGTATTTTAAATTAAAAACTCAAAAATGAACTCATCAGATTAGACATGGCCATGGTGAGAGTTCATAAATATTTCAGAATGCATTACAGAAAATTTTTAAAAATGCACAATGTGGACAGAATCATGAAGAGACATGGAAGATACAGTGAGAAAGTGTAGCATGTGTTTAGTGAGGGTTCTCTTAGAAGAAGGGAACTGGGAAGGGACAATATGTGATGGTATTTTGGCTGAAAGTTCTCTAGACTCTTGTAAGACACTAATCCGCATATTCAAAAATTCTATGCATGCTAAGCAAGCTACAATGGAGATAAACCTACCTCTACATATCTCCTAGAGAAATAGTAAACAATCAGGAAGGGAAAAATTTTTTTTTTTTTTTTTTTTTTTTTTTTTTTTTGAGACGGAGTCTCGCTCTGTCGCCCAGGCCGGACTGCGGACTGCAGTGGCGCAATCTCGGCTCACTGCAAGCTCCGCTTCCCGGGTTCACGCCATTCTCCTGCCTCAGCCTCCCGAGTAGCTGGGACTACAGGCGCCTGCCACCGCGCCCGGCTAATTTTTTGTATTTTTAGTAGAGACGGGGTTTCACCTTGTTAGCCAGGATGGTCTCGATCTCCTGACCTCGTGATCCACCCGCCTCGGCCTCCCAAAGTGCTGGGATTACAGGCGTGAGCCACCGCGCCCGGCCAGGGAAAAATATTTCAATTAGCACTAGAAAAATCAAATTACCTTTAATCATATTGAAATCTGAAAGCATGAAAGGTAAAATAAACAATATTATTTGTTAAGAATAATAATGCCATTCTGAAATTCTCAACCAAGAAAAATATTCATCAACCTATGGCTAAATAACATATTTAGAGACAAAAAACAAAACACCACCAGCAGAATTCCACTAAAGAAACTAAAAAGAAACTCTGAAAACATGCTTCAGAAAGATTGAAGTTCTGAAATCAAAGAATGAACACAGAGAAAAATATATTGTAAACATACAGATAGATCTAAATAAAAAATTAGGTGTTGGAACAAAAAGATATTTAAAATTAGATAAGCACTGCAATATGTATGTTAGGAAGCAAATTATTAGGGCTGAAGTATTCAAAGACCCCTTAATTGTCTGACAAGAGCAGAAAGGTATGACTTTGCAACTTTTTTTTTTTTTTTTTGAGAAGGAGTCTCACTGTTTCTCCCAGGCTGGAGTGCGGTGGCGCCATCTCGGCTCACTGCAACCTCTGCCTCCCAGGTTCAAGCAATTCTCCTGCCTCAGCCTCCTGAGTAGCGGGGATTACAGCCACGTGCCACCATGCCTGGCTAATTTTTGTATTTTTAGTATAGACGGGGTTTCACCATGTTGGTCAGGCTAGTCTCCAACTCCTGACCTCGTGATCCACACGTCTCGGCCTCCTGAAGTGTTCAGATTACAGGTGTGAGCCACTGCGCGTGACCGACTTTGGAAATTTAATAAATTGATTGGACATTATGCATTTCTCTGTTGTATCTAGGAAAACAATAAAAATAAAAGTCACAATTTTAAAACAAGAAGACAGAAACTGATAGGAGAAAATGAGACAGTATATATATATATATATATCCACACAACAAATTAATAATACAAAATTAAGTATAAATGATCAAAGATTAACTTAAACCTAAGTAGACAATGTTTTTGTTAAAATACAAAGATTGGCAAAATTTAAAACATCTGTCTCTATCATAGTTACAAGAGAGGCAACTAATATATAAATTTACAGGAACTTTGAAGTTTGAACAATACAGATACTGTGTATATATGATATACATACAAACATACTACATGAATATAATTTTTTAAAAAGTTGCTATGTAGACAAAACAGAATGTAAGTTAGAAATATTTATTAAAATAAGTTAGTCTAACCAGTGTGATAAAAGTTTTAAGTTATTAAGATGTGATGACTTAAATGTGCATTAGCCTGATACATACATATATATATACACACAAACCACACACTCTCTCACACACACAGACACACACGTATTTAGAGAGAGAGTCAAATTATATAAAGCAAAAATATCAGAAAGTAGAAATGGATAAGCCCCCAAATATTATAGACATTTCAAACACACATCTTTCAATAATAGATAAAAGAAAAAATTAAAAGAGTAAGTTTTAAAAGAAGCTAGTGGATTTTAAAAAGGGCAAATATTATATAAGGAACATGAATATTATAATTCATGTTATTTTCTTGTTCATACAGAATACTTACAAAAATTAACATTTTCTAGACCATACCACAAATTCAAACAATTTTCACGGAAATAACGTGACACAGAATATACTTCCTAAACAAACAGCAATGAAGGCAGATATCAATACAAAAACGAAAGCTAGAAACATAAGTCTAATAATATTGGTTGGAAGCTATTTTAATGAATATTGAAATATTTTAAAGGTGAATAGTCCATACAAATAAACCAAACACTTTTTTAAGGCCACTAAGATGCATGTGTAATGTGTAATGCCTCCTTTTATAAGGAGTCAATCTGTAACATCACCTGGGCTATTTGACAACTGCAAAGTGAATGTGAGAAGGAGAGAAACAGTGAGAGAGAGAGAGAGAGAAAACAAGTAAAATAAAGAATGAAGGAGATAACCAGGAGCCATGGTTCACTCCTGTAATCCCAGCACTTTGGGAGGCCGAGACAGGTGGATCACCTGAGGTCAGGAGTTCGAGACCAACCTGGTCTAACATGGTGAAACCCACTATCTACTAAATATACAAAAATTAGCCTGGCATGGTGGCATGCATCTGTAATCCCAGCTACTCGGGAGGCTGAGGTGGGAGAATTGCTTGAACGTGGGGGGTGGAAATTGCAGTGAGTAGAGATCACGCGACTGCACTCCAGCTTGGGCGACATAGCAAGACTCCGTGTCAAAAAAAAAACAAAACAAAACAAAAAAACGAGGAAATAGTACACGAAAAAAACAGAATTAAAGCAACTGGGTATATATTTAAAAATGCAAAAGCTCACTTTTTCAGAAAAATATTAAAATATTAAATCTAACAAATATCTAGGTAGACTGATGGAGAAAAATACAGAAAATGCACAAAAAACCAATTACCTGGAATGCGAACGTTACAAAACTTCAGCAGTTGTAGATTTTAAATAAGCAATGATTTTTGAGTTCAACCATGATGGGGTATATTGAAAAGAATCTCTCAGAAAAAAAGAAAAAGAAAACTGTTATAAAGCTATGTACAAAATGTTAAGCAGTATTAAAGTCTTCCAAATCTACCAGTTATGGAGTTATTGGTCTTGGACTAACTCTCCTGAAAAGAAAAAAACAAAACGAAACAAAACAAAACCTAAAAACCTGGATAAAATGGCCTACCGTGGGCACTGGCAATGCATCCAAGCAGGTAGGACCTGGGTGCTACATTCTCTTTGTCAGAACACAAAACATTCATACACTCTTCTCACCCTCACTTTCACCTTTTAATCTTAGATCTACTATTAAATGTATTCAACATTACTATCAATCCTTTGGTCAAAATTTCTTTACTCACATTGTGCTTGATGCACTTGGATAGACTGTTCAAGAACGTGTGAGTAGTGAATTCCTCAAACTCTTGCATATTTAAAATCACATTTTTGAACCTTGATGCTTGAAGTGTAGCTTGGGTAACAGATGACCTTTAAGCCAATTTTGGCATGCAAGGGGTTGTTTATTAGGCATCAGCACCGCTGAAAATCGTGGGGATGCAGGCTTAATTTCAACACTATTCTAAATACTTGAAAGATATTATATAATTCTTTAATAAACTCCTGTGTCTACAAATGGTTCACATTAACTCAATATCCATGATTAAGCATTTATAAAATCAAGGCACTGTTATTTAGTGGAGACTTGCTGGCTATTCTATGAGAGGAGGTATTGTTATTGTAATCTCATCCTCTCATAAATATGTATCATATTACTCATAACCAGCCCTTCATATTCTATTCCTATTTTGGTATTTTAAAATAAGATATCTTTGAAACACTTGAATTCAAAGAGGGAATCTGAATAATTTTTAAAATGTCAATGAAATGCCATTTCTTCATGCTTCAACAACTAAAAATTGACTAAAGTGCTTCTCTTCAAACTTTCTGGAACATTTTTTTATCTAAATTCTAAGAACAATCACATTAGGTTTTAACCACGAATGTGAGAATATTCTAAATGTTAGGGTGGAAAAATTTTTTAAATAATTTTATAGTAATTTTTTTCATCATAGTGACAGTGTGCTAAATTTTTTTAAGTCAAATATTACTTTAGACATTTAAGTCAGGATTCTAAGAAGCTGTTCTAAACTCGAAAATTTAGTTTCATATACACTGATATTATATATATGTTTGCATAAAAAATTAATACATGTGAGCCATGTTTCAAATAGTTGAGAGATTATTATATCAAAGATTCTTGATTATATAAAATGCCAATTACTTATAGGCACACGTGCTTTAAATAATTACAAAGGCAGTTGTGGTTGTTTCTACTCTTGCTACTGGCATTTATATGGACATAATATTATGGTCTGAAGAATATTTAGGCATATTTATTCCTCATATGATCAGAAGAACAATGCAAGATAGTTTATATCTGAAAGGAAAAAAATCTTTATATGGTTCTGAAAGCGTAAATCATTAACAATTTGGATAATAATTAGCATAAAAATACACAAACATGCCCTCTTCCTAGCTGTAAGTACAAAGTGACAAGAGAATCAAAGAATGTGGCTATGTGCATGTTTATATTTCAAGACGCAGAGCACCCTATTCCTCTTCTCTGCCCTTTCTAGTTGGCACAATTCCTCATGAATCTAAGTGCAGCCATAGGGTGGATTACGGTGACCTGCCATTTGTATGCAACTGATCTCTATTTTGGAAGTAATTAATGTAAAAATATATTTTTAAAAGATAAGGTCAAATTTCAGGGCAAACTAGCATGGTTTCACCCCTTTTCTTTGTAACATTTTTTCTAATGTTGGAAAAGTAAGATAGGCTTTAGTACGATTTTAAATAATAAGTTTTCAAAGTGAGACGCAAAATGGTGGCGCCAACACATTTCAAATCTGCTACATTTTGAATACACTTATTGGAGAAAAGACCTTCTCATCATTTTTCTCTTACAGGAAAGGAAATAACATGTACAGTTGACCCTTAAGCAACACGGAGGTTGGGGTGCTGGCCCCCCTGCACAGTAGAAAATCCACTATAACTTTGACTCCCCCAAAACTTAACTACTAATAGACTACTCTAAGCCTTACAAATAACACAGTCAATTAACCCATATTTAATATGTTATATGTCTTATATACTGTATTCTTAACAAACATGCCAGAGAAAAGAAAAAAGCAAATCATAAGGAAAATATATTTACTAATCATTAAATGGAAGTAGATGATCAAACAGGTCTTCATCCTCATCCTTTTCATAGGCAGGGTGTGGATAAGGATGTAGAATTGTTGGTTTTGCTAAGTGGACGTGCACAGTTCAAACCCCTGTGGAGCAAAGGCCAACTGTATAGCCATTGAATAGCAACTTATTTTTAGAAATTAACCACACTAAAATACTCTTAGAAGGATGCCAAGAAAAAAAATGAATAAGTATTTTTCATCTATTTCATCATTTCATTATTTCATCATTTCATTTCCTCATTTCATCTCATTTCATTTCATCATTTCATCCTTTCATTTCATCATTTCATTTCATCTCATTTTATCATTTCATCTCATTCTTTCATTTCATTTCATCATTTCATCTCAACATTTCATTTCATTTCATCATTTCACTTCATCTCATTTCATCATCTCATTTTATTTCATCTCATCATTTCATCATTTCATCTTTTCATCTCATCATTTCATCTTTTCATCTCATTTCATCAATTCATCATTTCATCTCATCTCATTTCACTTCATTTCATTGTTTCATTTCATCATTTCATTTCATCACTTCATCTCAACATTTCATTGCGTCATTTCACTTCATCTCATTTCATCATTTCATCTCATGATTTCATCTCATCATTTCATCATTTCATTTATTTCATCTTTTCATCATTTGACGTCATGTCATCATCTCATCATTTCATATCATTTCATCATTTCATCTTTTCATTCCATCATTTCACTTCATCATTTTATTTCATCATTTCATTTCCTCATTTCATCATTTCATTTCATCCTTTCATCATTCCATCTCATCATTTCATCGTTTCATTTCATTATTTCATTTCAGCATTTCTTCTCATTGTTGCATTTCGTCATTTCATCATTTCATCATTTCACTTCATCTCATCATTTCATCTGATTTCATCTCATCTCATTTCATCTTTTCATCTCATTTCATCATTTCATTTCATCTTTTCATCTCGTCATTTCATTTGATCATTTCATCAATTCATCATTTCATCATTTCATTATTTCATCATTTAATCATTTAACTTCATTTCATCATTTCATATCATTTCTTCATTTCACCATTTGATCTTCTCATTTCATTTCACTTCATCATTTCATTTCATCATTTCATTTCATTTCATTTCACCATTTCATCATTTCATTTCATCATTCCATTTCATCATTTCATTACATTTCATCATTTCACTTCATCTCATCATTTCATCTCATGATTTCATTTCATCTCATCATTTCATCTTTTAATCTCATTTCATTTAATCATTTCGTTTCATTACACCTTTTCATTTCATTTCATCATTTCATTTCATTTCATATCATTTCCTCAATTCATCATTTCATCTTTTCATTTCATTTCACCATCATTTCATCATTCCATTTCATCATTTCATCATTTCATCTCATCATTTCATCTCATGATTTCATCTCATCATTTCATCTTTTAATCTCATTTAATTTAATCATTTCGTTTCATTACACCTTTTCATTTCATCATTTCATATCATTTCCTCAATTCATCATTTCATCTTTTCATTTCATCATTTCATCATTTCATTTCATCATTTCACTTCATTATTTCATTTCATTTCACCATTTCATGTCATCATTTCATCATTTCATTTCATTTCAGTGATACATGTATTTAAGTGCTAATGCGATGCCCAGGAGACACCCTATTTCCCTTTGTAAAACACCTCCTTCAACAAAAGGCAACTTCTCATGGCTGGCTAAGTCTACAGGGACACCAGCCTCTCTTCAACCACCCAATTTCATTTAGAACCTCAAACAGCACCTCAGTTTCGTAAAAACCTAAAACATAAACACAACACTTGGTTGTAAGTGAGCCAACAGTTGTCTCTTTCTCTGCTCAAGGCTTAAGGCCATGTCTCCCCAACTACATTCAGTGGAAGAAAAGATCCCCTGGACAAATAAGTTTGAGAATTGTTGTTGCAGGAATTCTCAGAACCTTCAAAACACAAATCCTCATCCGCAGGGATCTTCAGGAGGGAGATGGCTGATGCAGCACAACTTTCTTTCACAGGAGTACCTTGCAGAATACAGTATGAGATACAGAAAGGCTGCATTGAGTCTTTTTAATGGCCCGGGCCTTGGTGGGGGTGGGGTAGGAGCTCTGAGTAGGAACATTCAGGTGGCTTTTTTTTTCTCCTTATTGGCAAAACTGTGTGTACACCATGAATGAAGCTGGTCTCCCTTATCCATATCAAAACTAAACCCAAATTAATTGGCTAAATTGGGACTCAACACCTCCAGGAGCCACGCGGCAGAAAGCCCCAACACACTTTGAATTAGCTTACCTCATCATATTTGAGGAAAGCAAAACGCTTATGACCAGTGTGCTGCTAATACAAGTCTACAGATAATGCTGTATGAAAAACTAGTTTTCCCAATCATAGCTGGCATAGTCCACATTTTGCATTACACTTTCCCCCCTTTTTTAAAATTTTAAACACAGGTCTTTTTCTCTTCTTTTTTTAAATTTTAATTAAATTATACAAGACGGAGTCTCAGTATGTTGCCCAGGCTGGTCTTCAACTCCTGAGCTCAAGCGATACATCCGTCTCCGCCTCCCAAAGTGCTAAGATTACAGGCCTGATACACTGTGCCTGGCCTTAAACACAAATCTTAATTCATTCTTACAATTATTCTGAGGTTACAAAAATGGAAGGGGAAGAAAAATGGCAAGCAGGTAGGCTGACTTCGGCTTCATTATTTGGAAGGATAGTTTGCTCGGTTAAAACACACTACTGCCTACAAAGGCCAAGACAACAGAAAAATACAGACTTACATAAATAGATTTTATGTGACAGCAGTTTGAATGGAGACTTTTTCAATGCAATGAGAAACAGCTGTGCTTGGGAATAAATGACAACGAATTTTTTTTTATCTCAACAGCTGTCCTGAGAGCATGTCTCTACATCTCTACCTGCATTCTGGAATCAGGGAGAAAGCCAAAACAGACAGACACTAGATCAGCCGTGTCAACCCTTTGACTACAAGGACTTTTCCGCCTATCTGTGGTGGTGGGTATCATGAAAATTATGCAAAAACCTTTTTTTTTTTTTAAGCTCATCAGCTGTTGTTAGCATTAGTGTATTTTATGTGTGGCCCAGGAGCATTCTTCTTCCAATGTGGCCCTAAGAAGCCAAAAGACTGGACACCTGTGCACTAGATCAAAAGGCTACTCCTTCTGGAAGCAATTGTAAAGAATTTCTGACATTATCTTGACATGAAAACCAATAGATAGTGGGACAGAATGCAAAATCTTCAAGAATTTTTCCTGTCTTTTTTTTTTTTTTTTTTGAGTCACGGTCTTGCTCTGTGGCCCAGGCTGGAGTACACTGGTGAGCTCACAGCTCAGTGCAGGATCAAGTGCTCCTCCCACCTCAGCCACAGTAGTAGCTGGGACTAGAGATGTGCACAACCACCCCTGGCTAACATTTTATTTTTTGTAGAGACAGGGTCTCACTATATTGTCCAGGTTGGTCTCAAACTCCTTGACTCAAGGGATCCAGGACAGGATAACAGGTGGGAGCCACCACACCTGGCCATGTGCATGAACTTTTAAGACAAACAAAAGGCCCCACAAAAGTTAAGGTTTTCCCACCTAATTTCCAGGGGATCTTTTGGTGCAAGGATGAGAAACCCTTAAAAGTACACAGACAACTCCAAAGATTCAAGACAGTTCATTCAGGCTGAGCCAGCTCACTGGGCAGACTGACATTCAAAAAAGGCCCACCCATGACATACACCAGATGGCTCTACAAGAATCTCTTCAGTCCTCAGGGTCCCTAAGATACTGGACAGAGCTAGGAAAGCAAACCCATTTGCTTCTTCCTGCAGGAAACCCCTTGAGGTCAAGACCCCACAATCAGACAAGGATGGAGTGGCTCACCCTCAGTAAACAGGCCAGACTCAAGGTGGTATAATGTCTTAACCAAGAGTGTGGGCCTCCAGGTCTGACTCCCATCTCAGTTCTCCTTTAATAACCACACTTTGATAATTCTCCTTAACAGGGGTTCCTGGCAAGTCAGTTCTTCCTCAGGCCTTCGGTTTCCTCACCTACAAGATGAGAGGGCTGGACCAGATGGAAATTCAGGGTGGAAGGGGATGTCCGCGCACAGCCCACCACCCCCCCCCACAGGACCCTGGATCCTTCATCCCAGTTCCCACCACGCACCCGCCCCACAAATCGCGCTCAAGGTGAGGGCTGGTCCCGGGTCCTCCTGCTGCCGCATCAGCGAATGCAGGAGGGAGGGGAAGACTCCAAGGGCGCAATGCGGGCTCAAGGATGCAACTGGGCCAGGAGTGAACTGGGGCCCCGAGGGAGGTGTCTGAGCTCCTCCTGGAGCCCAGCCCGGGTCCCCGAACCCCTTACCTCCAGGGTCGGTATCTTCTGCTGGGTGAGGTCGTTCGACACAGCGCACTTGGTGCCCAGCCAGCGAAGGCTGCCAATGAAGATGCCAATGAGCTTCTGGAGCTGCCCGCGGCCCCTGCGCCACCTTCCGCTAATGCCGCATCACCCCCGCCACCACCCTCCTTCTTCTCTCCCATCGCCTCTGCGCGCAGCGCCGCTCTATGCAGGCCACAGAGGCCGAGGCAGGGAGCCCGGGGCGCCGGCGCCTAGGCAAAGAACCCCCGAGCCAGGAGAGCTGGACCAGGAGCGCCCCTCGGCGCTGCCCTTGCCAGGACGCCAGTGGAGCTAGCAGCCGAGTCTGCCGCTCCTGCCCTCAGAGCCGCAGCACCAGGGGAAAAATCCTCCGCGGCGGGGGTAAAAATCCGCGGCGGGGGCAAAAAGCCGCGGTGGCAGGAGCAAAAAGCAGCGGGAGTGGGGGCAAAAAAAACCACAAAAAGCCGTGGCGGCGCGGGTAAAAAGCTATGGCGGCAAAAAGTCTCAGCGGCGGGGACAAAAAAACCGCGGAGGCGGGGGCAAAACGCCGCGGCATCGGGGGAAAAAGCCACGGCGGCGGGGGCTGATAGCTCCGGCGGCAAAAAGCTCGGGCGGTGGGGGAAAAAGCCGCGGCGGCGTGGGCAAAAAGCCGCAAAAAGTAGTGGCGGCGGGGGCAAAAAGCCTCGGCGGCGGGGGCAGAAAATCGCTGCGGTGGGGGCGAAAACCCGCGACTGGGGGAAAAAGCTGCGGCGGCGGGGTCAAAAAGCCGCGGCGGCGGGGACAAAAACGAGCGGCACGGAGCAAAAAGCCGCGGCGGTGGGCGCAAAAAGCCGCGTCCGCAAAACCCGCGGCGGTGGGGGAAAAAGCTGCAAAAAGCAGCGGCTGCGGAGGTAAAAATCCGCGGCGGCGAGGGCAAAAAGCCGCGGCGGCGGAGCCAAAAAGCCTCGGCGGCAAAAACCCGCGGTGGCGGGGGCAAAAAGACGCGGCGGCCAAAAGCCGCGGCGGCGGGGAGTAAAAAGCCGCGTCGTCAAAAGCCGCGGCGGCGGGGAGTAAAAAGCCGCGTCGGCAAAAGCCGCGGCGAGGGGGGTAAAAAGCCGCGTTGGCAAAAACCGCGGCGGCGGGGAGCAAAAAGCCGCCGCGGTGGGCGCAAAAAGTCGCCGCGGCCAAAAAGCCGTGCCGGTGGCGGCGGCGGCAAAAAGCCGCGGCGTCGGGGGCGGGGGCAAAAAGCCGCTGCGGCGGCGGGGGCCGAAAGCATCGGGGGCAAAAAAACACAAAAAGCCGCGGCGGCGGGGGAAAAAACCCGCGGCGGCGGTGGCAAAAAGCCGCGGCGGTGGGGGTAAAAAATCACGTCGGCAAAAGCCTTGGCGTCCAGGGCAAAAAGGCGTGGCGGTGGGCGCAAAAAGTCGTGGCAGTGGGAGTAAAAAGCTGCGTCGGCAAAACCCGCGGCGGCGGGGGAAAAAGCTGCAAAAAGCCGCGGCGATGGGGTCAAAAAGCCGCGATGGCGGGGGCAAACGGCCCCGGCGGCAAAAACCGGCGGCGGCGGGAGCAAAAAGCCGGGGCGGCGGGGGCAAAAAGACGCGACGGCCAAAAGCCGCGGCGGCGGGGCGCAAAAAGCCACGTCGGCAAAAGCCGTGGCGGCGGGGGCAAAAAGCCGCGGCGGCGGGGAGTAAAAAGCCGCGGTGATGGGGGTAAAAAGCCGCGTTGGCAAAAACCGCGGCGGCGGGGCGCAAAAAGCCGCGGAGGCGGGGAGCAAAAAGTCGCCGCGGCGGGGCGCAAAAAGCCGCGGCAGCGGGGGGTAAAAAGCCGTGTTGGCAAAAGCCGTGGCGGCGGGGACCAAAAAGCCGCAAAAACCGCGGCGGCGGGGCGCAAAAAGCCGCGGAGGCGGGGAGCAAAAAGTCGCCGCGGCGGGGCGCAAAAAGCCGCGGCAGCGGGGGGTAAAAAGCCGTGTCGGCAAAAGCCGCGGCGGCGGGGTCAAAAAGCCGCAAAAGCCGCGGCGGCGGGGGCAAAATACCGCGGTGGCAAAAAGCCCCGGCGGCGCGGGCAAAAAGCCGCGCTGGTGGGGGCAAAAACCATCTGGAGCGGGGGCAAAAAAAGCCGCGAGGGCGGCGGCGGGGGGAAAAAGTCGCAAAAAACACCGGCGGCTGGGGTAAAAAGCCACGGCGGCAAAAAGCCTCGGCGGCGGGGGCAAAAAGCCGCGTTGTCAAAAGAGTGGCGGCGGGGGCCAAAAGCCGCGGCGGCGGGGACTGAAACCCACGGCGGCGGGGGCAAAATACTGCGGCGGTAAAAAGCCATGGCGGGGACAAAAAGCCACAAAAAGAGCCTTTTTAGGGAAAAGTGCAATTGCTAACATCTGAATAATATATTAAGGATGCCAATCTAAAATTTGCTAATAGCATCATATTTACAAAATAATAACTATTAACATGAGAAGGAATGTAATATTTAATAATTAACATTATATTACAATTCTGAGAATTCTGATCAATGCAATAAAATATCAAGAAGAAATAATTCGAAAGAAGTGATAACATTATTTACAAATAGTACAAGAATAAGGAACCTTAAAATGATCATTTTTTATAATTTGTTATAGTAAATTGTTAAAGTCTACCTTAGGAAAGTAACACTAAGAGAAAATGTTAACAAAAATATCTTTGGAGTTATTTATGTTAACAAAATTTGGAAAAGCCTAAATATTTAGCTAGAAGGAAACGGTACATTGATATAGACTGGCATTAAACTTAGTTTCTTGATTTGATTAAACTTAGTTTCTATGAGACATTTCTATCATTCAAAGTTGTATGTATAGACACTGACTGAAACACAAAGTGGGTCATAATATTGAATATGTGATGTAATGGCAACCATGAAGAAAATATCAGAGAACCAAATGGAAGGAAAAGAACAGAACCTGAATAATGATTACCTTTGGACAGTGGGATCTTAGTTCCTTTTACTCTTCCTACTAATTTAAAATTTGCAAATTTATTACCTTCAGAATATGAGAATACGTTATATTTATAATTAGAAAACATAAAATGAGTGCTAAATAAACAAATATACCAAATTCTGTTTAGAATTCACTTCCCCAAGAAACTTTCTTTGATTAATCCCACTGGCATTGATCATTATTTTATATGGCACCCCCATACTTATGTATTCAGTTTCTACCAAATTAATTTGCATGTTTTAAAAAATCAATTTATAAGCATAATTATGGCATTTCTACATTTATATAGTGTAGTCTCCAAACTGAATTATAAGCTTGAGGATATGAGGAACCACAGTGTATTTCCAATTATATTTATACAATAAATCATGTGGTACTTTTCACAGAGTGAATGTTGTTAACTTACTGAAGACCTGACGAAACATGGGAAAGATGGCAATGTCTGACAAGAGGAACAGACGTGAAATAAAATCCAACATTCTGTGTAATTCTTATTGTCTCTTAACCCTACTTGTTGAATTACGAAAACTTCATATACAAAAATTTGAGCATTATACTCTTTAGCTGTACATTATCATTTCAAAACAAACTTATACATGGCTCTCACTATTACAATAGTCTTCCCACTGTAAAAACTTTTAAGCTGTAACTTTCTGCCATTACTACGTTACCTTCGTATTAGTTTATGCCATACTTCTTTCTGAGTTTCTGTCAATATTCATCTGAGGTATTTTTGTGTAAAAATTAGATAGTAACAGGAAAATAGATAACTGCTTCCAATATGTAGAAGTCATTACTACAGCTTTGCCTATTAACACATACACACTATTTCTTCATGTCCCAGATGTTCAGGTATATGGGAATGAAACAATGAGTTGGAACCTCTTGATTCAGTTATTCTGGTGACAAACAATGTGTATAGCTCATTGACGATTGTTTAACCCTTGACAAAATGTGGCTGCAATTGTTACTTGCAGATGTAGCCACACTTAATTTCTTTTCTCCACTCCCCACTGCATTGTATTTGTTATTCTTGATATCAGAAATGTGTTAAGAAATATGCCACTAACTGGGTGTGCTCCCTATACAATTAGCTACAGAAAGAGGTGATAACTCATATTATTTACAAAGATTACAAGTATAAAGAACCTTAAAATAATCATTTTCTATAATTTGTTATCAATTGTTAAGTTTATTTTAACAATTATCAATTAGCTACAGAACACGAGTAGTGTTTCTTACTTTAGCCTGATGTAAACATGTGATGCGGTAATATAGTGAAGAATATTACTCACTTCAGGGGATAGGGCTTTGGTCAAGAATTTTGAGAAACTCTTGAAAAAGGAAAAGAAAACCCCCCGTGATAGTAATACAATTCCAAAAGCAAAAGGAGAAAAAATGTAAATATATTAAATCAAAAAATATTTTAAGGTAAGGCAAAAGTAGGTATAGAATGGTGAGTCACATACAAATTGTGAAAGTGAGTAATGGCCCAGAAATCAAAGGAGAGGGAAAAATATGGTAGGTGAATATGGTTGCAATGCTAATTAAAAAAATGTTATTAGCAGCTAGCTCAATTCAAGCTTTGAATAAATAGAAAGAGTGTTTATAACAGTACGCTTAATCTACTGGTGCTAATATTAAGATAATTGTTGAAATATACTTAAAAGAAGTTAGTGAAAGCAGAGAATGAAAGACTATTGAACTTTTCTGGTTTATTGTGTAAAAATTTGCCTGTATCCAACATACAGGCACAAAAATAAAATACTGGAAATAGAGAGCAAATC
The DNA here is from genome assembly GCF_000001405.40 of Homo sapiens. NCBI lineage: Eukaryota > Metazoa > Chordata > Mammalia > Primates > Hominidae > Homo > Homo sapiens. The sequence goes on along the minus strand of NC_000021.9, from coordinate 8,545,998 downwards.
TTGGCCATTCAAATGAGAGTCAGTTATTAATTCTTTGGACATAGGCTGTACTCCTACAAGCAAACTACGGCTAAAATATGCGATTCAATACAGATACTCATTTTTCAAGTGTTTACAACCTGTTTGAGTCCATTTGGACTGCTGTAACAAATTACCTTAGACTGGGTAATTTATAAACCAAATTTATTATTCTCAGTTCTGGGGGTTGGGAAGTCCAAGATCTAGGTGCCAGCAGAGTTGTTACCTGGTGAGGTTTGTTTCTCAAACTTACTGCTGCATCTTCACATGGCATAAGGGCAAAAGGGACAAAGTAGCTCCCTATGGGTTCTTTTATAAGGGGACTAACCCATTCATGACGGCTCCCCAACCCCCTTAACCTACTCACATCCCAAAGACCGCCCCTATTTATTTATTTATTTATTTATTTATTTATTTATTGAGATGGAGTCTTGCTCGGTTGCCCAGGCTGGAGTGCAGTGACACAATCTCAGCTCACTGCAACCTCTGGTTCCCAGGTTCAAGCAATTCTCCTGCCTCAGCCTCCCGAGTAGCTGGGATTACAGGCGTGTGCCACCACACCTGGCTAATTTTTGTGTTTTTAGTAAAGATGGGGTTTTACCATGTTGGCCAGGCTGGTCTTGAACTCCTGACCTCGTGATCTGTCCACTTCGGCCTCCCAAAGTGCTGGGATTACAGGTGTGAGCCACTGTGTCCAGCCTAGCCTCACATCTTAACACCAACATATTGGGAATTAGATTTCAATATATGAATTTTGGAGAGATATAAACTTTAGGCCCACAGCACAAACCAAGGATGAATGTATGAGGCACCTGTCAAAATACACATTTGAAAAGATCAGAACGTCTGCAATGCCAAATGAATTACATTTGTAGAGGCAAATTCTAACAATGAAATGAGAAGAACTGCAAACAGAAGGAATCACAGAGAGAACCATTTAATTTTAACATTGAGGAAAAACTTTGAATGTGGGTTCCATTCAATTGTACAATAACTCAATGTATACAGCATCAACACTTTTAAAACATTGAGATAAAATATTTTTGGATTTTATCAAATTTGATGCAATGCTAGAAGAAGAATTCATACTTCGAAGGGACTGTGATAAATTAAAGGATTTATTTAGCTCTGTTTGCACTTGCTACATGCTGTTTCCAATATGAATATTTTCACAAGATTTACATGTCTAATACATGAGTTGGCTCCTGACCTTGAAGCAATTGTTAGCAATAGATACACTGGTAAAAAAAAATTATCTTCTGCTGTTCTGCATGACCATGGACATGGACATCTTAGTAGGTATGCATAATAAAAACTTTCAGTTCAGCTTAGTAAATATTTATTGACAATGTGCTAATCATGAGGAGGACTGTGGATAAAGGTGGATGATAAAGATAAATTTAAGTTGGGAAAACTACCACCACTACATCTACAAGGGCTGAAAGTATATACAAGTCAGAAGCACACAGAAATCACTGAACCACAAAGTAAATGGCCGTAAGTGCTGTTATATACCCAAAGCATGTCCTACTTATATAGTCCTTTAAATGGATAAATAATACATTAATTCTGACTGGGAAGGGAGAAAGTTTCTAGGAATAGTTCTTTAAAAAGTTGCATCAGTTTTGATTAATACATAGAAAGAGACTGTTACAGAAGAAGAGCTAGCTAACAGAAGACCTAGCATCATTTTATTCTTGCACAATATCAGGGAACACAACAGTTTTGTCAGCAGTAGCTACTTTTAGTTTCCTTGGATACTTGAGATCATCTGGGAAGATTGTGGTAAGTAAGGCTGCTGATGAAGACTTTGATTAAGAAAGGATTTATCAGGAGCTGGGCACAGTCGCTCTTGCCTGTAATCCCAGCCATGTAGGAGGATGAGGCAGGAAGACTGCTTAAATCCAGGAATTAGAGATTAACCTGGGCAATATAGCCAGACCACCTTCTCTACAAAAAATAAAAAAACAATTAGATGGGCATTGTGGCACATGCCTGTGGCCCCAGCCATTGGGGAGACTGAGGTAAAAAGATCACTTGGGCCCAGGAGTTTGAGGCTACAATAGGCTGTGATTGTGATGGCAGTGGCTGCTGCCATCATGCCAGCTGCAGGGGAGAGGTGTGGCCAGGGTTGTATGCTCCCTGGATTTGGCAGGATGAGGACAAGTGGGAGCCCTGCCCTTCCGAATTGGAATGGGAGCTCCCTGGATGCTGCTGCAGCTGCCCAAACTGCAGCTGTAGCTGTAGACCTGGACCTCCCACTCCATGGAGCAGACGGGAGTTTATCCAACTCCCCTACTCTGTCCCCACCCTAGCCCACCACCCAGCCACCCAAACCAATGCTGCAGACTCAGGCCTCCCTGCACTCTTGGGGAGCCTGGGAACGCCCCCCTTGCCCCTTGCAGGCTTGGAGGCACCTCTTCCTGCTGCCTGGTCTCTCCCACCTCCTGGCTCTGTGCTCTGATCTCAGAGTGGGGTTGGGACCCAGCAGGGTGCTGTCACTGCCCAGCCAGGTGTGCACACATTGGAAGCAGTGCTGACATGCCAGTCCCCTGCCACCTCAGCCCCTTCTGGACTTTGGACACTGAGGAGCAGGAGCATGGGAGGGGAAGATGAGGGGGTACGAGGGTGGCTTGGCACTGGCCTGCAAGTGCCCCTTGATGCCAGCAGCCTGGGTGCCATGGATGGTTGTGGGAGGCAGACAGGCTCCTGGGTGGAAGGTGATGGGTCCCCAGTGAAGCCCCACCTGCAGGCTAGGCTGCCAGTCCTGCAGACTGGAGGCAAAACTCATGGTGCTTTTTCCTGGGCCCGCCCATGGCTGCCCATGGACCAACGGGCATACATTTCCTCCCCTCTGACATCCATAAAAGCCCAGGACTCAGCCAGAACAGGGCAGAAGACAGAGGAGGGAAGACTAGAGGCAGGAAGGAGCTATCCTTTCTGCTGATAGCTGGAGACAATGGGAGGGCCAGATATTTTCTCTGCTGAATGCTTCAGAGACCTGCATAGATGTCTGGGAACTACCAGCTGCAGACAGGAGCAACCCTCTCCAGGGTTTCCCTTTCTGCTGAGAGCTGAACACTTGACAGAACAACCTAGAGAGGAGCTACCCACTATGGGTCTCCTCTGAGCTGTTCTAACACTTAATAAAGCTCCTCTCCTTTAACCCTTCACTTGTCTACCTACACCATTCTTCCTGGATGCAGGACAAGAACTCGGACAAAGATGCCACCAACCACAGTTTTCAAACCAGAAAATCGACACCCCAAAGATTCCGTAACAATTGCACAACTGCACTCCAGCCTAGGTGACAGAGTGAGACCCTGACTCTTAAAAAAAAAGAAAAAAAAAGAAATTATCCACAATTTATTAGATAAGACTGTTAATAGCTTCTAATTGTGATACCTTCCCGTTTGAAATGGAAGGCGTGGAAGTTAACACCAGGTCAGTTTTCCCAAAGTTATAACCCTGCTTTTGGCCTCTTTCAGCTCCAGTCAGACATTAGCAATGCTCAGTTACCTTCAATATTAAGCCGGTCCTGACATGAAACTGGCAGCATTTGAGAACACTGACCCAGACTTGAAGGTAGATCTGGAATTAGGATTGCTGCTTTAAGCCCAGTATCAAGGTATACAATGAACCATGCATTTCTCAAAAGCCAAATTTAGTGGATTTTTTTCCTATAATTCTGAGGATAACTTTGCCTTGATTATATATTAAAACAATTCATTTGCTGTATCTTCATTACTGTCCCAAATGTTTTGGGTTGACATACTGATGTTAGCTAGTGGTTTTGGTCTCAAGTTTCAGTAGCTGCTCCAATGTAAAATGATCACACATAAATCTTAGGTTTTTACTCATATGATACCTTGTCTGATACTATCTTTATCTATCAAATAAAGGGTTTAGTATTTTCTTAGTCAATGTGGGCTGCTATAACGGAAAACACAGATTGAGCGAGTAAAACAATAAACATTTGTTTTTCACAGATCCGTAGGCTGTAAATCTGAAATCAGGGAGTCAGCATGGTTGGGTTCTTGGTGAAGGCTGTCTTCCTGGTTTACAGATGGCTGTCTTATTTTATCCTCACATGGAGGAGAGAAAAATCTCTCTTGTATCTCTTTCTAGAAGGGCACTACTTTCCTTTGATGAGGGTTTCATCTTCATGACCTAATTACCTCCCAAAGGTTTACCTCCTAATACCAATACATTGAGAGTTAGGATTTCATCATATGAATTTGAGGGATTTGCAGTCCATAATAACTACCAATGTCAACTCAGTTCAAGCTTGAATTTGTTTTGCTTTGGGTGACAAATCTCTAACTAATTTGAATTCATCTTTCCCCAGTCTGGTTCAGTGTTGTCTTCTTTCTCCTTCACCACCAACAGTTAGCAAGATGTCAGTTTTACTTGAGGCTAAGTATGTTTTAGTTATCACAATAGAGAACCCTGTAAGCTATATCTTAGTTTCCCCTTTCATAATATTTTTCATTATGGAAAAAATACATTCTAAACATTGTTCCTATTCTAAGAAACTTGGCTGCATCTTTGCAACAAAAATAATGTGGACATTTACCAAATACAGCTGTAGAGAAAGGTAAAATCATTGCTCTGAATTATTCATAAAATCACAGAAATTAGGGACAAACACTAAATAAGAATGAATTATTCAGTGACCCGAAACAGATATTTTCTTTAGTTTCTCATGTAATTTGAAATGTACCGCAATTTACATCCTGAGTGTTATAAACTTATGATGTTTCTCTTTTAGTGAAAAGCACCCATCAGAACTTGTTAAACAAATGAGTTTTTTTTCTCTTCCCATCTCTAAAAGCATTTTTCATACCTACACATCTACAAATATGTTTTAATAGACCTAAACTCTATATGATGTCATTTTCCCCTTGAGTACCAGAATATATATTTAGTCCTGTAGAATTATTTAGCTCTCAGGTGCTGAGTTACTATTTCCCAGGAGTTGCATTGCCCAAAGTACTGTGGACATTTTTCTCATTTTAAATTTCACCTCACATGGTCCTTTGGTTTTGTTACATTTTGTACCTGTTTTGATTGTTTTTTTCCTCTCTATGAAAATTACTTGCCAAGTAAGGAGAAAAAGTATTGCTGTTTTTCCTTATTCAAAAATTATGGTAGATGAAAAAAATCTGATTAAATAACTCTATTACAGTCTTTCTCAACTTTTTACTGAGATAAACTTGAAGGCACTGAAAAGGTGAAATTTTCAGCTATTGAAAATTTAGAATGTAGGACATCATGCCGAGATTTGAGGAAACCTATCAATAATTTAGCAAGGGATGGTAGTAGATACACAAAAAGCAATTAGAAGCAAAAAGGCCTTGGATTCTTTTCATGTTAAAGAAAATACATTCTGAAAGTAAGTACAAAGACCCTTTGTATTTCCTTCATAACCTGTTCCCTAACAGAATACCAGGACCTATGCCAAGGGAAAAACTGTGTAGATGTGTTTTTCTCTTCTGGTGCTGATATGGTCATAGGATGGGGATGCTCTCTCTTTGCTATTTCTCTAACCAATCTTATTACTATATCAATTAATATCAAAACATTTCAAGTCTAGTTACTGACAAGAGAGTAAACTAGAGAGGACTCCTGACTCATAACAAGGATTCAGATCTAGAGTTCTCATAGAGTGAAGAGATTATGTTTGCAACTGAGAAACAAATGTAAAAACTGTAAGGAATCCCTGGAGAGTCTGAAAGTCCCTGAGCCCTGATACAGAGAGCAAATGGCAGTTTAAGGCTGACCACCTCTCATTCCCTCCACTATTTCTCACATAAGAATATTACAGCACACTCTTCACTGCTCTCTCTGCTTCAAGCTTTCCCTTCCACCTCTCTATTCCACAGAGAAGGTAGAATGCTCCTCTTAAAATACAAGGTGGATTATTTTACTCATCTGCTTAAAAACTTTTCAATGGCTTCTCATCTCATTCTGAATAAAATTCAAAGTGCTTTCCAGGCTTACAAGTCCCTGTACGATCCTGAGCCTTGACAATATCTCTGACAAAATCTCCAGCCTCCCATTGGTCACTCCTGCTCTATCACAGTAGTGTACTTGCTGCTGTTTTGAAACATAGAAAGCATGATTTTACTTCAGTGTCTTTATCCTTGTTATTTTCTCTGCCTGCCTTTTTCTGTGTCTTGGGCATTCCATATGACTCATCTCCTCATTCCCCTTAGTCCTTTTTGCATGTGGCATTTGAATACAGAAATCTTCACTATCTAAAATTATACTCCCATATCCATAACTTCTTTCATTGCTCTAGATATCCTTACAGCATTTATCATTACCATTTATTAGGTTATTTGTCTTTTCTTACTAAAATGTAAACTAAATACAGACAGAAATTTTTGTAATTAAAAAACACATAACAAAAAAATCTACCATCTTAACAAAATTTTAAGTTTGCAGAACATTTTGTTAATGATATACACATTGTTGTACAGCAGAAATCTAGAATGTTTTTATCTTGCTTGACTGAAACTCTACACCTGGTGAACAGCAACTCCAGATTTCCTGTTTCCTCCAGGCCCTGACCACTACCATTTTATCTTGTGTTTCCATGTGTTTGGCTACTTTCAATACATCATATAAATGGAATCACGATATATTTGTCTTTGTGTCTGGCTTATTTCACTTAGCACAATATCCTTAAGATTGATACATGTTGAAATACGACAGAATTTTCCTTTTGAAGGCTGACTAATATTCCATTCTGTGTGTGTATGTATATATACATATATATACATATATACATATATATACACATAAATATACCATATATATATACACCATACATATATATGCCATACTATATATATCATACATATATATATACACCATACATATATATACCATACATATATATATATATATATATATATATACACACACACACATATACCATATTTTCTTCATCTGTTCATTTGATGATGGACTTTTAGATTGTTTCTACTTTTTGGCTATTGTGAATAATTCTGTAACGAATATGGGAATGCAAATATCACTTCAAGATCTTGTTTTCAATTATTTTGGAATTATTCAATTATTTTGGAAAAATGCCCACAAGTGGGACTGCTGCATCATATGGTAGGTCTATTTTTTAATGTTTTGAGGACCCTCCATACTGTTTTCCATAGTGGCTCTACCATTTTACATTCCTACTGACAGTACATAAGGTTCTAATTCAATTTCTCCACATCTTCATCAACACTTGCTATTTTCTTTTTTTAAAAATGGTCATACAGTTATGAGGTGATAAATCCCGTTGTGATTTTAATTAGCATTTCCCTGATGATTAATGATGTTGAGTATCTTTTTATATCCCTGTTGGTCATTTGCATGTCTTCCTGAAAAATATCTATTTAAGAATTTGGCCATTTTAAAATTGGGTTATGTGTTTATTTGCTTTTGAGTTCTAGGTGTTTCTTATATATTTTGGATATTAAGCCCTTAGCACATATACGGTTTTCAAATATTTTCTCCAATTCTATAGGCTGCCTGTTCACTCTGTTGTTTCCTTTTTTGCACAGAAGCATTTTATCTTGATGTAATCACCCTAACCTATTTTTGCTTTTGTTGCCTGTGCTTTTGGTATCAAATCCAAGGAATTATTGCCACGACCAATGTGATAAAGCCTTTCTTTATGTTTTCTTGTAGTTTTACAGCTTTAGTTCTTACATTTAAGTCTTCAATCCATTTGGAGTTAACATTTGTGAACAGTTTTAAGATAACGGTTCACTTTCATTCTTTTGCATATGGATATCCAGTTTTCCCAACAATATTTGTTGAAGAAATTATCCTTTCTCCATTGTATAGTTTTGGCACCCTCGTCAAAGATCATTTGACTATATGCATGTGGGTTTATTTCTGGGCTTGCTTTCCTTCCTTCCTTCCTTCCTTCCTTCCTTCCTTCCTTCCTTCTTTCTTTCTTTCTTTCTTTCTTTCTTTCTTTCTTTCTTTCTTTCTTTCTTATTTCTTTCTTTCTTTTTGAGATGGAGTCTTGCTCTGTAACCAAGGCGGGAGTGCAGTGGTGTGATCTTGGCTCACTGCAACCTCTTCCTCCTGGGTTCAAGCGATTCTCCTACCTCAGCCTCCCAAGTAGCTGGAATTACAGGTGCCCATAACCATGCCCAGCTAATTTTTGTATTTTTTCATAGAGACGGGGTTTCACCATGTTAGCCAGGCTGGTCTTGAACTCCCGACCTTAGGTGATCTGCCCGCCTTGGCCTCCCAGTGGGCTTTCTATTCTGTTCCAATAATCCATTCTGTTCCATTCATCTATATGATTAGTTTTACATTAATATCACACTATTGGGATTGCTGTAGCTTTGTAGTATATTTCAAAGTCAGAAAATGTGAGGCCTCTAACTGTTTCTCTTTCTTAGGATTGTTTTGGATATTCAGGGTCCGTTGTGGTTCCATATGGATTTTAGAATTGTCCTTTCTATTTCTCTAAAATTATCATTGGAATTTATACAATTCCAAGGGATTACATCAAATCTGTAAATTGCTTTGGCTAGTATTAGAATTTAAAAATATTCTTTGAATTCACAAAAATGAGATGGCTTTCCATTTATTTGTGTCTTCCTTAATTTCTTTCAGCAATATTTTGCAGTATTCAGTGTACAAGTCTTTCCCCCACCGGCTAAGTTTATTCCAAAGTATTTTATTCAGTTTGATGCCATTGCAAATGGATTGTTTTCTTAATTTCCTTTTCAGAATGTTTGCTGTTTGTGTTTTTTTGAATCTTTACTTTGAATCCTGCAACTTTGCTGAATTAATTTTATTAGTTCCAAGAGCTTTTTGTTGAATCTTTAGGGTTTTTTTAATATATAAGATGATGTTTTCTGGGAATAGAAAAAATTTTACTTACTTCTTCCTTTCCAATTTGGATGCCTTTATATCTTTTTCTTGCTGAATTATTTTAGCTAGGACTTTATGTACTTCATAAAGGCGTCCTTGCCTTGTTCCTGATCCTGATCTTAGAAGAAAAGATTTCAGTTTTTCTTCATTAATATGGTGTGAAATGTGGGTTTTTACATATGGCCTTTATTCTGTTGGAATAATTTCTTTCTATTCCTATTTTTTCAAGTGTTTTTCTAACGAGAGAATGTTGAATTTCATCAAATGATCTTTCTCCATCTACGGAGATGAACACGTTATTTGAATTATTTTGTTAATGTGGCATATTATATTGATTTGCACATGTTGAACCCTTCTTGCATTCCAGGAACAAATCCATCATAATTATGGTGGATGATACTTTATAGTGCTGTTGAATTCAATTTACTGGTATTTGTTGAGGATTTTGCATCTACATTCATTAGGAATATTTAATTTTTTTTCTTGTAGCACCATTGTCTGGCTTTGATATTAGGGTTATACTAGCTTCACAAAAAGAGTTTAGAATAGTTCTTTCTTCTTTAACTTTTTAGGAATGTTTGAGAAATATTGGCATTAATTCTTCCTTAAATGTTGGCAGAATTCTCTAGTAAAGTCATCTGCACCTGAGATTTTCTTTGTTGGAAGATTTTTGATTACTAATTTAAACACCTTACTAGCTATAGATTTGTTCATATTTTGTATTTCTTTTTGATTCAGTGTTGTTTGTTGTATATTTCCAGTCATTTGTTTTTTTTCTAGGTTATCCAATTATTACCATAATAATTCACAGCAGTCTCTAATAATCTTTTTTATTTCTGTGGCATCAATTGCAATGTCTACTTTTTCATTTTTAATTTTATTTGGTTGAGTCTTTTCTCTTTTTAATTGCCATATTCCATTGTATAGTAATACCACAGTTTTTTTTTAATCTATTCACTTGCATTGGTTCTACTTTCTGGTTATAATGAAAATATGTGTGTGAAAATATCCTTTATTTGCTTAATTTTTATTATTTCCTTCCTTTTGCTGGGTTTGGGCTTGGTTCTTTTTTTTAGTTCCTTGAGTTGTAAAGTTAGGTTGTTTATTTGAGATCTTTCTTCTTTTTTAAGGTAGGCATTTATTGCTATAAATTTCCCTCTTTAGTACTGCCTTTGCTGCATTTCTAAGTTTTGCTATGTTGTGTTTTTTTATTTTTTTGTCAGCTTGTTTTCTAATATTCTTTTTGATTTCTTCTTTGACTCATTGGTTGTTCAATAGTATGTTGTTTAATTTCCATATATTTGTAAATGTTTCCGTTTTCCTTCTACTATTGAATTTTTGCTTCATCCTACTTTTGGTCAAAACAGGTTCTTGATTTCCTTTGTCTTAATTTTGTTAAGACTCTCTTTGTGACCTAACATTTGATCTATCCTGGAGAATGTGTCAGGATATGTCACTTTGCCAGATAATTTATATACCTCCATTTTTGAAGGGTTGATATTTGGAAACTTATTTTCTTCTTTTTATTAGGCCATGTTTCCCTGTTTCCTTGTGTGCCTTTTAATTTTGTGTTGTTATTCTAGGATTTGAAAAAAATAACCACTTCTCCTTGTCTTTACAGACTGGTTTTGCACTGGGAAATCCTTTCACCAGTCAGCCCAGTTAGAGATTCTGAAGTGTGTCAAATCTTTCTGTGAATGTATTGTCTCTGAAATTGTGTGTAAATTCTGAGAAAAATTTGCAGGTCTTTCTTCAGGAGCATGTAATCTCTTGCTCTCTTTGTTATCTATCTGTAGTACTGTAGGTTATCTGGAGTTGCTATAACCCCCTAGCTCTCTTTTGTTCTCAGCAGTCCTCAGACATGAAGAGTATCCAGTCAGACAGAAAACAGTCCATCAGGCTGACTGGGAAAAGTTGAAATTCTGGATGCACACTCCAGCTTTTTCCTTCTCCAAGGGGAAGCCAGGAGTTGAGGGTTTTGTCCCACTCATTGCATATTGATCCAGGGAAGGATGATATGATAAGTGAATGTATGCTAACCCAAACTTCCTCAACTCATTTATTCTTAATATCCCCAACCTGGAAAGCTTTCCTGTTAACGCTTAAATTCAGGCAAGACAGAAAACAATCACTTGGCAACTCCCCTGAAGTCTGAACACTGAATGTGTGTTGCAGTATTCTCTTTCACTTCTGTGGGGGAATCAGGAACTGTAGAGTATTCTCCCAATCTTGTTATACTGAGTCACAGGAGGAACGATGGTGATTGAGTGACAGTCCAAACTGTGGCTTTATCAGCAGGCATGCAATCTGGCATCCTTTCCTGTTAGCACTTAGATTCAGGGTAGATAGGTGCTAGTGCCCTCCCAAAAAGTCAAAATGTTGGATGTATGGTCTAGACTTTTCTTTCTCTCCCTAGAGATGAGCTGGGAGTTTGGAGCTTTCTCTCCATTGCGTTGTACTGCTGAGGGAGTATGAGTGAGTGCAACAAATTTACCTGCTGGTTTTGATGTGCCTGGCTTGAAGCCTACCAGGGAATCCAGAGTCTTTAAATTCTCCTCTGAACTTTTCACGAAGGGAATTTATCTGTGTATTATTATTGAGCTGGTGTCTCCTTGGAGAGGAGGGTGGAGGGGCTTTGAGGCTTTCTATTTCATCATCTTGCTGGTATCCTGACAGGAATTTTAAACGGGGCTCCTTTCCCCACATTGTTGGAGAATGGATCCTGGCTGGTTATAGGTACTCATGAAATACTGGATAAATTATTATTTATCATTTACTTACAAAAACTTAAAATTTTTATTATGGGAAATAAGTTTTTAATCACTATTAAAGTTTGTTGAAGCACTAATTCATTACTGTGAAAAGTGGGGAGGGGTATAAAAATCAAGCATTTGTCTACTTATCTTGTTTTTCCTGTCCAAACTGTGTTTTGGTGTAATCAATACACATTTGGGAAGAAATGTTCTTTTAGAAATTATTCCAGCTAATAAATGAAGAAAAAAATGAAAGAATGTAGTACCCTGTTATAACACCTAGTAAAATAATGGTTGAAACAAGTTTTCTAATGAATGCTAAAGCTATTAGTTGAAAAGTTGATGCAAACCTTTACTGTGGAAGAATGTAGCTGACATTAATTTCTTATCTGAATTACATTTTTTGAAACTTTATGACTCTTTGAATTTAAAAGGGATTTTGGTGTCATTATTTTTTCTTTTACAGTTTCTTTTTTCACATAAAAATCAACTATTAACTGATTGGTTTTATGGTCTTTTGGAAAGAGACTATATAAATTCTGATTTTTGTATGAAGATCTCTTTTACACTTTCAGAGGAAATTTTATCTCTGGTAAGCTCTGATTTCATCTTTCAATTTTATTTTGAATTTCTTTCTTTGTCTTTTGTCTTATCAGCACCTTGTTTAATTTAAAATATATTCAGTGTCAACAAGGAGTTAAATCAGGAAACTAATTTATCCAGAAATGCAAATATTTTTGCAGATATTTTATCCTTTGTTTTAGATCCTTAATATGTAATTTCAAAAAATGAAATATGGACAGTTTGCTTGATTTCTGAGCATAGTCAATGAATAATTTTACCAAAATAAGCAAACATTTTTCGAGCTTTTTTTTTTTCCTTGAGACTGAGTCTTGCTCTGTCACCCAAGTTGGAGTAGGGTGGTGTGATCTTGGCACACTGTAAACTCTGCCTTCCACGTTCAAGCAATTCTTCTGCCTCAGCCTCCTGATTAGCTGAGATTACAGTTGCCCACCACCACACCCAGCTAATTTTTTTTTATTATTATTATTAGAGACGGGGTTTCATCATGTTGGCCAGGCTAGTCTCCAACTCCTGACCTCAAGTGATCCGCCCACTTCGACCTCCCAAAGTGCTGGGATTACAGGCATAAGCCACCACGCCTGGCCTGGAGCATTTTGATATAATGAATTACTGATGAAACCTTTTAATATAATGTTAGACAGCCCATTTAAAAATAATCCAGTATAATTATTATGTTCTTTATATGACTACATTTCACAGTGAAGTAACTTAGCACTCTGTATTTATAATGCTTTGAAAATACATATTAGTTGCTGATTTTATATTCCAAACAGAAATTATAGGACATCTTATTATATAAACACAAGAATTCAATATCAATTTTCACACTTTAAAACAATAGTCTTGGCCCTGCGCGGTGGCTTGCGCCTGTATTCCCAGCACTTTGGGAGGTGGAGGCAGGCGGATCACGAGGTCAGAAGATTGAGACCATCCTGACTAACAAGGTGAAACCCCGTCTCTAATAAAAATAAAAAAAAAATAGCCTGGCGTGGTGGCGGGTGCCTGTAGTCCCGCTACTAGAGAGGCTGAGGCAGGAGAATAGCATGAAGCCAGGAGGCTGAGCTCGCAGTGAGCCGAGATGGCGCCACTGCACTCCAGCCTGGATGACACAGCGAGACTCCGTCTCAAAAAAAAAAAAAAACTTTTCAATTTTTAAAATTTTTCTCAAACTACCCATCAGAGAAGTTTAACATCTCCATTTACATTTCTATGATGTTATACAGAAATATTTTATTTCTCTCCCCAGAATAATATAGGCAAAATCTCTCCCTCTGACTATACACACCTGGTATTGTTATTTTAATTGTTTAAGGATTTCTATCTCTTCCTATTCTGAATGATTACTCTCTTTTTGAGCTTTCTTGCAGTAACCGTTTTAAATAGTCTCTAGACAACTTTCTGGATTCTAGGATCCACATTAATCTTCCTGCCGTTGCACTTTCTGTCTTCTCCAAGAGTCTAGCTTTTATGAGAACAAAATAGTCATATCTTCTTTAGAGAAGAGTTTCCAGTGTAAAGACTAAAAGTTTAAGTTAATTGTAAATGAAAAACTCCAGTTAGAGGAGAAAATATTTCATTTTCAGATGACTGTTTCAGAACACAATTACTATATTGAAGACGACTCTCACTATAGCCACATTAATTACATCTATTTCAATTTAAGGAGACACAGCAACAAATCTTACCTCTCTGAAAAGAAATCAAATCTGAAACATGGTGGAGAAGTATGAGTCCTGACCAAGAGATTTTCTTGGAAGACATAGATTGACTTGTAGCAAATGTTATCTGAAGTAATAAAATCTTACACTTTATTTTTATAGAAAACAGACAATAAAAATCTTTCTAAATTAATGCATAGGTACTTTTGTAAAAATAACGTAAAAATGTCTGATTAACTTACATACATAAGTTCTTTAAGTTCCAAAATAAAGAATGAGAGAAGTTTATAGTTTGTCTGACTTGTATTCTTTTTGACCCATAATTAATTCCATAGATAGAATAATTTATAATGTAACTTTAATCATTACAACCTTTGATCAAAAATATACAGATATTCTTAATTTTTCTTCTCATATTTACTTAAATTATTTTTCATTGCTTTAATATTTCTTTATTCACTGGTCCCACAATAATTCACTAAGTTTGGTATTTCTTGGTTTTGTAAAAAATTTCCCAATTCAGCTCCTGAGCACAATTAGTACTCTTCTCTCCTCTTCCTTTGTATTCTTTTTAGGTCCAACCCCATGGCTTTCCTTTTGTACTCTCTAGGCCAAGAATGTTCTTTCTTCTTCCTACCATTTAACCGTTATTCATTTCTCATGGCTGTATTAGTCCGCTTTCACACTGTCATAAAAGACTTTCCTGAGACTGGGTAATTTATAAAGGAAAAAAGCTTTAATTGACTCACAGTTCTGCATGCTGGAGAGGCCTCAGGAAACTTACCATGATGGTGGGAGGAGAAGCAGACACATCTTCTATGGTGGCAGGCAAGGGAGAAAGTAAGCATATGAAGGAGGAACTGTCAAACACTTATAAACCCATCAGATCTCTTGAGAACTTAACTCATTATCATGAGAACAGCATGGGGGAAGCTGCTGCCATGATCCAATCACCTCCCACCAGGTTCCTTCCTTTATATGTGGGGATTACAATTCAAGATGAGGTTTGGGTGGGGACACAGAGCCAAACCATATCAATGGCCAAAATAATATATATTTTTCTTTTCTCATCTATTCCTGACTATGTCCTTTCTGAATTTCTTCCATACTTTCAACCTGACCCACAAAAGGCAGAGCTTACTCATATTTCTTATCCTGTTATTTAAAAATTAATTTTGCTTGAGTTTGAGAATAATAGTCAATAGGCAGGGGACAAGCAGGCCATCAACAGCATCCTTTATTTTGGCAGAAATTATTCTGAATCAAACTTACCTTGTCATGGGTATAATTACATGATCTCAAAAAGAATTAAAAATCTCTATCACTTGAACCACAGTTTCCCTTAACATATTTAATATACTTCATTTTTGTCAGCTAACAAATGTTAGCTAATATTTTTACCATCAAGAAGAATATCCTTTGGCAAAAGTATCTCTGTTTGCTTAGTACATATTGAGAGAGTTGGACCCCATGGCCTCCCAACTTGCTCAGGAATGGAGAAGCTAGGGTATCCAGATAGGTAATCTTCTGTTATGATACTTATATACTGACTGTACACGGTGTCAAATCTGGGTCTTGACCTAGCAGGCACACATTAACACAACATGAAGGAAGTAAAAAGTCATTTATGAAACTACAATGGCTGCAGTAGTTATTTGGTAGTCCTCTTTTTAAAAATTTCCTTTTAATTGAAATGAAAGTTTATAAGTGATCATACTGTAAATGATATGACATTTTATAATGTTTTATTACAAAAACTCAAACACTCCAGGAGTGAATTAAATGTAAATTGAAATCTTCCTCTCTCTACAATTCCACTTGCCTCATCATTTCCTCTATTCCTTAGAAATCCACCGACAATTTAATTAGAACTCAAATACTCTCACTCATAAAACACATATGTGTACTTTTTTAAAAATGAGATTATGCTAATTATGATTTGTAGTGAACTGATATTTCATTTGAAAATACATTGGATATCTTGCCGTCATTTAAAATGACTGTAAAATGTTAATTTTTACCAGTATTTTTATAAAACATATCTATTGAAAATTCAAGTCATTACTATCTTTGCATTTTTTTAAACTTGTATAATGAACAGCTTTGCAAATATTAGTTAGCACACTGCTTCAATTATTTAATAGAGATCTAATCTGAGGAGTTCAGAATTTTCAACTCTTTCTCAGGACCATTCCTTTGGAGTGATTCTGGAAATGTAGGTTATTTTTGGTTGTATCAATGATGGAGACATGGCAAGCACTTACAAGTAAAGGGTAGAGATCACATGCAGCATGCATTGGGCCAAACAGTGCATTGAGACAAACAGTCCTATATAAGGAAGAATTGCTTCTTATGAAGGCCCAATAGTACCTCTTGGAGAAACATGGCAACATGAAGTATTTCACGGTCTACTTTAAGAAATGTTGCACTATTTGTGCATTTTACAATAAATATCTATTGATCTTATAATCTGCAAAATTATAATATACTATTATTTAAAGTTCTTTTTTGTTTTGTTTTGTTTTTGTTTGTTTGTTTGTTTTTTTTGAGACAGAGTGTTGCTCTGTCACCCAGGCTGGAGTGCAGTGACACAATCTTGGCTCAATACAACCTCCATCTCCCGGGTTTGAGTGATTTCTTGTGCCTCAGTTTCTCAAGTAGCTGAGACTACAGGCACATGCCACCATGACCTGCTAATTTTTGTATTTTTGTGTTTTTAGTAGAGAAGGGGTTTCACCATATCGGCCAGGCTGGCCTTGAACCCCTGTCCTCAAGTGATCCACCCACCTCGGCCTCCCAAAGTGCTGGGATTACAGGTGTGAGCCACCATGCCTGGCCTATTATTCTAAGGATTTAATCTTCTCCCATCCCAACAGCAATGGAATTTTTCAATAAATACAAAAAATTATTTCTTTGAAAGGACAAACAAATTAGATGACAAAAAAGAGAGAGACTATTAAAATATAACAAGAAAAATGGAAAACTGGATAACTGAAAATTTCAAAAGAATGTAATATGTACCTTTTGGTCATTATATTTGAAAATATATATGAAGAGGTTAATTTTTTAGGGAAAATTTAACTATAAAAATAAATCTAGAGAAATGAGATCATTTGAAGATACCAACAATAGAAAAAAATGAAACCGGTGTAAAGTTATAGCACCTTTAAAAGCTCAAGGCCCAGCTGTGTCTCAAGCAGGCCCTCTTAAACTTAATGGAAAAGTTAATTCCTGCATTCTTCAAACTATTCTTTTGGTTAATGGGAGCAAAGGAAGCATATCTCTCCCTCCATTTATTTCTTAAAACAACTGAAAACCAAAAGAAAAATCAATATACAAAGAAAAAAAAACTCCACCAATTTTGTTAAAAATAAACACCATTAAAAATTATAAACCAAACTTTGAAGACTAGTTGTTAGTGTCATTACAATTTAGCCTTTCTTCAAAAAATGATGAGAGTAGATGCAGGCACCTGAGCAAATATGGCATATTAAACACATAGAGAGACTTATTTTCCCACCTGAAACTATAACATGATGACAAATGGCTTATTCAAGTGATATAAAAAGAAAACAGCAACATTTTTGAAAACAGGAAGTCCATAAATGGCTGGTAACTGACTTAGCTTAACAAAAAGTGTAAAATTGTAAGTAGCGGGGAAATCTGATTCTACAAAATGTTCATAAATTGGTTGCACGGGATACCTCTGAAAGTAGAAGTAAAGGTAGGGCTAAAACCCAGGAAGATTGGTTGAAAGACTGTTTCCAATGTCCACTCCATCAAGCCGCATGAATGCCTCTAGGTTCTGCTGGTGGAAAAGTAGACATTTGCTGTCTAGAGAGGTAACAAGGAATCTTAGTACTGGCAATATCATCTTCAATGGTCATACATAAATTAGGGGTGCAAAATGAACAGTAACTACTGAAAGCTAGATCTCCCCAATTTTCACCTCTATCTAGATTCAAAACACAACAGTCTATTAGTCTTATATCCTCAGAGAAGACTGGAAGACTCTAGTTGGAAGATCATGATCAGCCCAAAGGAATAGACCAGTGGATATGTCATGAGGAGCTTTTCTGGGAAAACTTCTCGACCTGATTGCCCTGTCTGGAAGCCACAGTTGACAATTATTACCTAAGAAACTGAAGCTTACCATAAATGTTTATTGTATTGCTCTTGAACGCAAACAGATAACAAACAATCATGAGATTCTAGGTACAGCCAATAACAAACACAGAAACAAAAAATAAACAAAACAACTGAAAGTAAACAGAGTCTATGCAGTGTGGGAAAAAAGTAATTATTAATTTCCTCAGAGAGGGAAGATAAGATAATACAATAAGAACAAGGTGTGATATAAAATGGATATTCAAAAAAATAGAATTCTTAAAAATTAAGAAATTTATTGCAGAAATATATAACTTAATGGGAGATTTGGAAGGTAAAGCTGACTGCATCTGCAGAAAAGTTAGTGTAAACAGAGTTGGGAATGAGAAAGGGAAAGTTTAATGAATTAAATAATTGGTCCTATAGGGCCAGCAACAAAATACAGGCATTTGGGAAAAGAAAAAAGTAAAATGAAGTATGATATATGTAAATACTTTTTTGAAATGGGTAAGAGTTAAAGTGCATGAATTTCAGATTGAATGTATCCACGAGAATTCAAGCCAGTGGTGAAAATAGACCTAGACCAACGCACACACACACACACACACACACACACACCAGCACACTCAGGAAAAAAAAAAAGAAGAGACTTAAAATTTCCAGAGAAGAGAAATATAAATGGTCACTAGAAAACAAGCAAAGCCTTATAAATTGCAAAACAAATTATTTCTAATGCAGAATAGTATCTCCAACCAAACTAAATCAGATAGGAGGAAACAATAATAAGCATTTACAGCATGGCAAGATTCTAAAACTCTACATCCAATACATCCTATCTCAGGAATTTCTGGAGAAGAGTTTCACTGAAATGAGGAAGTAAATGAAGAAAGAGTAGGGTATAAAGTACAGGGAATCTCCTGATTATTAGATGTACAGTTTGTGTACACAGCAACCTGTGTAAATTAGAGTTATTTAGAAAAAAATTTTCAAAAAGATAAATCTGATAAAATGTCTAATGCTTCTGAATGCATTATGAGACTCATTAGAAAACTGGAATAGAGTTTGGAGTTGGTACTTTGATACATACATAGAAAAATGAAAAAAACAAAAATTTTAAAAAATTGTCAGTTTAACGGAAAAAATGTTGTGTAGACATGAAATTCAATCATTTATGCTCCATGTTTCAGGTGTGAGTAACATTTACCTAATTATAACAGTACTAGTGTTACTGGAAAAAGAGGTCCCGATCCACACTTCAAGAGATGGTTTTTGGGCCTCACACAGGAAAGAATTCAAGGTGAGTCACAGAGTACAATGAGAAGAAGACATAGTTTATTGAAAGCTACTGCCTTTTAGAGTAGGGTGTCCTCAGAAAGCAAGCAAAGGAATGCACCCTCTTTGTTTTCAGTTTTTTTGTTATAGGAGTTTTGTCTATGTAAAGACTAAATTGAATTGTCTATGTAAAGACTAAATTGGAAACAAAATAACAGGAAGAAGGAATTTATGCATAATCTTCAAATCATGAGGAGTAAAATTCATACAGGACCTACCGCTTAAAGAGTTTCATAGTGGTTACCAGTAGTCATTTTGTGATGTTTATCGATGTGATTCTTGAATGTAAAAAGGACTACATATAAGATTTCATATTCTGAATTAATGTGCAGCATATTATGTTAAATTGTTAACCAATTTAAAAAATTTTTGAGTTTAAATTAGAAATCTTGTTGTTCTATTTATAAATCTAGTACATTAAAAATTATTTTTAAGGGGGACTTTGATTAATGTTTTGTCCATTTACAACTTAGTTAATTAAACTCCCTTAAAGATTTTAAACTACATTTACAAATTTAATATGTTGAATTATCTTTATGAACATTTTAATTATCGGACTAACAAATAAAGCCTTCAGAGTACTTAAACAACCCTTATAGAGCTAATAAATTAAACTCACAAAATCATGAATGTTAAATTATCTTCAATGTTAAACCACTACTGGCAACTCGGTAAAACCGCTTATTATTTCAACTAAAAAACAACCCCAATATCTAAAATATTCTGTTACACATTGAAAATTGGAATGTAAAATGCTAATCTATATTTAAATACTAATACAATTATAAATAAATATCACATCTCTAAAGTATAAATATTATAGTTTTCATATACTTCATCATCTCTAAACTTTTTTTCAATGTTTTCCTGGGATAAAAAAAATCATAAAAACAATTACATTCTCTTAAGCAAATGAGGTTATCACCTCAGTGAGTTGTGGCTACTTTTTCAGGTTGTTTACCTATCAGAGATTTTGACTGGAAAATGAGATCTGGAGCTTCAGATACTCAGGGTAATTGTTTGTTTTTCCCTCATTAATATGGGAACAAATTCTAACATTGTAAAAGTTATGTTAATAGAGATTCCAAGCCCATGAACTCTAAGTGAAATGGCCATGCAATCCATGTTTTCTAGATCCATGTTGCCTATATCTTTAGCCTGATTTTAATATCTAACCTCCCTACTCTGATTATTTAGGTACTAGATTAAATTCAAAAATCTATTTACTGTATGATTCTTGACAGAGTTCTTTTTATATTTTTCATACCTGGTGAAGTCATAACTTTTCTAGATATTTAAATGACATACACATGTATTATTTAATCTCATGTATATATCTGATTCTGTGGTCACATTTCCCAAAGCCAGATAAATGACTGTAGCCAGACAGAAGTAGGGCTAGGTGTAAAAGGAGATATTCCCACAGATTATATAGTTGCTGTGTAGAGAAAACTCTCTCTGTTTTTCCTCTAGTCTCATGCCACAAAGATCAATCAGCAACAGAAAAGACTTCTGTGACCAAATGTGTGAGTTTTTTCCTCCATACATACACCAAGGAGTGGACACCAGCTGAGTGTCCTCTAATTCAGTTCTGACACTACACTATCTACCTGGAGATAGTGTCAGGTCTCACAGGTCAGTCCCCAAGACTGCCCACCCTCAAACTACCAGCCAGAAGTCCAGGCCTCTGAACTTCTGACCTGCTGGCTTCGAGTTGGCTTCTCAGGACCCCCTCTTTGGGTTTGATTAATTTGTTGGAGTGGCTCACAGAACTCAGGGAAACACTTACATTTCCTGGTGTTTTATAAAGGACATTGCAAAGGATATAGATGAAGGACACTTAGAGCAATTCATAGGGGAAGGGAGCAGAGCTTCCATGCCATCCCTGGGCGGGCCACCCTACAGGAACATCCATGTGTTCAACTACCCAGAAGCTCACTGAACCCTGTCCTCCTGGATTTTTATGGAAGTTTCATGATATCAGCATTCCTCCCTCCAGGGTATAGGGTGGGACTCTCTCTTGAGATGGTCTTAAGACCCACAACCAGAAAGGCAGGAACATAAAAATGAAAAAAGGCCATGAGAAGGTGAGAGGCCTGCTCCTGAGGCCTAATACACCCAATATTATAACAAAAGACTGTAACAAGTGCTAGGGGAGTTATAAGCCAGGAACTGTGGATGAAAACCAATATATATCATAACACCACAGTTGCTGAGAAAATATTCATGGAAAATAGACCTAAATTGATACTGCCTATTGACATAATTTACTTTACTGATCTTTTCCTTCACCATTTTAATAAATAGCTCAGAAAATAATGAGTCCCATTCAAAGATAATAATAGAAAAGATACCAGCACTGTGCCTGTGTAACATATATTTCATGTTAGAGAAAAGCAACAAAGACAATATAATATTAAAAGACAGAAAAAAATTACATGCCACATTGACTATCATTGAATCACAAAGTGAATACAAATTTTTAATGCATTGTTTCATTAAATCAAACTCCCCTTCCTGCACCAATACAACTCCTCTGATGTAAGTGACCTAAAAAGACATAAATAGGTTTTAAAGCAGATATAAGATAAATGCAATATATGTAGTGTGAGCTTAGGGAAAGATAAAAGGGAAAATATCTTTTATCTGAGAAATATATACCACACGAGAAACAGCAAAAATGAAGAATAGATATTTTCAAAATTTACTCAAATAAATGGTGTATAACAGTTTACACCATTGTAAATTGTAGAACAATTTACAATGTAGAACAATATTTATATTGTTCTAGGTATTACAAAATTTATAGTTGTTTGGGTAGAACAATATTTATAGTTGTTTGAAGGCAGACAAAGATGACCTAACATGTTGCCATGTATATTTTTTCCAGTTTTCCAAATTTGTTTTTATTGCTGGAAGGTTAGTTTGGTCAGAGTTATTTCACCATATCAGCAAGTATAATTTTCCAAACGCACACCCCTTACTTTTTGTATCTTATTTTTTATCCTTTTATTACATATTTTATAATATTATATATTCAATACTGAATTATACAGTAAATAAAAAATAAAATATGAACACAACAATTTCATACAAACGGTGAGTTTTTTTTTTTTAGTTGAAGCAGAAGTTCATGACTTGAAAATAGAATGATGCAGTAAAGAAATAAACTCTAGAACTCATTTTATGGAAAAAGTGAAAACAATTTGCAACATTAAAATAATTAATCAGAACTTCAATCCAGATTAAGAAGGAATAGAGAACAAATATTAAAATTGGAAGGCAATGAAAATATAATCACAGATATTGATCAAGTTATTAGATAAGATAATTTTCTTAATTTTACACAAATATATTGGAAACCCTGGATTATACGATATTTCCATATGAAAATATAAGTGACCAAAATGACAAGAGTTATAAAATCTCAGTATCTTATTAATGAAGAAAAAGATGTTGAAGATATAAAATTCTGAACATTCTCCTCTCAACAAACAGACAAATCAGCAAGCATGAACATTTTCAAGAAGAAATGTATCAAGACATGAAAGTACTGATAACTCAATGCTATTTAAAGTTTTCCTCTTCTAATTCTAGCTATGACAAGTTAATTTGTATCAGGCCATCCCACCTGGCAAGAACAATTATGAAAGCTGGGTAAAATTAATTAAAAATAAGTAGCTATTTAACGGCTTCTGATAGCAATCAAAGCATCCAGAACTTGAGTGTGTAAGCTCCCAGAAAGAAGAGAAACACATTGAAGTGATTTCAACATTCTCCACAGCCTTTCATTTGGATACATTTGCTGAGCAGATAGCTAAGAAGAAAATGGTAGCTCAGAGATGTTAGAAATCTGGTAGGCCTGCATAGACAACAATTGGAATTCATGACTATCATGGTGGCCAGGGCTTGATAAAGGGCCGGTAGAAACAATGCAATTTCATTTTGTTTTTCCTTCACAGCATTTTCTGATTCTTTAGCTGCAGAAGGTGAGCAACTAAGAAGCTTAGCATAAAATGGAGCTACCTGACTAAAAGGAAGTTAAGCAGACCTCTCAGCAAAAGGATAGACAAAATTGGAGGTCAGCAAGGAACAGAGGACCTAGAAATCTCCCTAGGCATTGGGACCCCTAAAAAGCTAATCCCTAGCTGAAAAGGCAAACTAGAAATTCACCAGCTGCCACAAAGACTGAAATCTAGCCTCAAGGCATTTCAGTCTGATTGGACCAAGATGATCTACCTCTAAGCCAGAAGAAAACTACAATTTCTTTGGAGGAAGATC